>NC_000011.10:96869394-97172424 GCF_000001405.40 Homo sapiens
GTAAAGAGTCAGATTGTGTTGTGAAACAATGGGCCTGACTTCAAGCAGTGGCCTCAATAGCCATCAGGAGAGGCATGAATAAACCTAGAAATCTGAGTCTATTAATGATCTTATCATGTACTGTTCCCACTACTTCACTGTAGATCCAAGGGTGTTTTTAGGGCTGGCTTTGTGAGGGTGGTTCAAATATGTTTGTGAGTGGCAAGGAATTTATCACCAGTGAGTCAGGTGTGCCAGAGCATAGCTGGTACCCAACTGAGGAAGAAGAGGGTCTTAGATATGTGTACTGTCTCATTCACTCAATACCTTGCACCTCCTCTGTAGGCAGTCATGATTTATCAGGGTAGTCTGAAGAAGGGGTTTGTAGTGATGTTCCTGTAAGGAACCAGTCTCCTTCACTAAGTTTAACAAGATGCTTGTTTCATTATTGAGGCAAACTAACACATTCTCTCAGGCCTTTTTTGTTTGCTGGGTGAAGTTATCCCTAAGTGCTCTATGTTCTTTTTCCTTGAAGGCACAAGTCTCAAAGAATTGAGTTGAAGTGGAGAAAAGTGTCTTCAAGTACCCCTCATAAAGAAGAGGTGCCTGAAAAATATTTTGGGTGAGGCCTCTGAATAGAGATGCCTAAGCTAAGAATGAAGCCATGCATATATGAGCATGGCTGGCTGGAATAGGCCTGAATCCCTGCCTGCAACTTCTTCCTGAGACTCCAATGCATTGGTTGTGCACCAAATCTTTTGTGGGAAGGGCAGCTTTCCCTCCATGAGGCCTGCCAGGTAAAGTCTTTGGTAGAGCCTGAAAGATCACACATGAAATTTAGACCTGGGGCTGGACCAGTTGCACCTGGTCGATCGATTGATGTGGAAAGAGAAACAGCCTCAGTTAGGAATATGAAATAGCATATAGAAAATAATAAATAACTTATTTGGCTGGTCAGTGGCACAGAAGTATTATAAAAAGATTAGAGGACTTGGGTCAAGGAGGTCTGGCGAAGAAGCATGAAGACTGACCTACTGAAGAGGGCATAAAGTGTGAAGGTATTTGTATTGTATGTTAATATTCTTCAGATAAAGTTCACCATGAAAGGAGCTCTAAAAATACATAATTCAGTCAACTGATGTCAGCCAACATGCCATTGGCCATTCCAGTGTTGGCACAATGGGTAAATGAATTCAATAGACACTGGATCAGGGATGAAGCCTTTGTATATGCCCAACGATTAGGCTCCCACTCACCATGGTTGTTCCATCCTTGGTTTAAATTTTAACAAAGACCAACCCTGAAGACCCAATATGGCACCATTCATCTAAAATACCAAACAGCCACTTGGTTTCATGTTGTTATTGAATGCTTTCCATCCTTGAAGAGGCAGATATTCATCTTTTCTAAAATTGACTTAGACTTTGAGTGTGAGCTTACCTTACCTGCCTGTAGGACTGTAGCCAGAACTACTATTTGGAATCTTGTGGAATGATAAATATTTATAACCTGTGATCTTCAGAGAAAAGGAGATGAGGGGATAAATACATAAAAATGGAGTCCATTGGTTTAATCACATGCTATACAACTCAGAAACCACTAGTCTTAATTGAGTTCTGGTGAAAGTATAGCCAAATATTAGTTTGGATATAATACCCTAAGATTATGGGTGCCATTTTTCAGGATGCAGTGTATACTCCAAATCAATGACCAGTATATAGTACTGTGCCTCCAAAAGGTAGAATTTAAAAAATGAGTCCAGAAACAAAGGGGTACATAAAATAACACTCCACTCACCATTATTTCCTGTGACCGACTCATGAAATATGTGCTTGCCATCCCTACAGTTCTTGGATCTAGAGGTTTAGAGGTTTTATTAGAAGTGTAGAAGAGAAATGCTTTTATTTTATTGTATTATTATTGTTATTATTATTTTTAGAGGACTAGGGCCTCACTGGAGGAAGGTCTGCGTCATTCTACCAGGCAGGTCACCTTGGCCAGCAAAGGTTATCATCAGAGATGAGGAATATGTAGAATAAAGTAAAAGAGTGAGATACTGCAGATCATTTGTGGAATTGAGGGGTGACAGTTCATTCCACTAATTTTTATCTGTCTCATAAATTTTCTTGAATAAAAGAGAAGCACCAGATTAGGAGTTGCTATCAGAATTTATATAAGACATGTAGATATAATGAATACAAAGTGGTAGATGGTAGTACATGTTTTGGTTCACCGGCCAAACCCCTACTACCTCAAGTAGGAGGCACTCATTATCTCAGCTGCTCAGAGTTGTCAGCTGACATCTTTTGGCTGAATGCCTCTGGGGATTGGCGGGGAGTTAAAATGACCAAGACTATGCTCTTTTCTTGGGGCAGCCAATGACTAGTTGATGTAAAACTACAAAAAGCTAAGCCCACTTGCCCTACTGGAGAATACCTTTAAAGGATACCTCAGTTCCTGATCCCATTGTTGGGTTTGGCTGGAGCCTTTACTGCGAATTCATCTTTTCCTTTCACTCACTCATAGATATTAATAACTAGAGTATCTCCCAACAAGTTTCTTACACACAAATCTTACCTCAGTATCTTATCTCAGTATTTTCAATAGCAGCCTAACAATATTTCAAAAATTCTTTAACGGCAAATTTTATGCTTAGGAATCCATGTTATAGAAATACTTGAACATGTTTCCAATAGTTGGTTGGTCCAAGACATTGGTCATCCTTAGTCATAGGGTTGAGACTCTCCAAAGTAGTGTCTATTCTTCAAACATCAATAAAACACAGTGGAAATGCTCATCTCTAATCTGCCAAACCAATGCATTATGACGAGAATTCTCTGCTTTTCATCTTAAACTTATTAATAACTAGTCCAATGTTTATGGCTAAACATGTTTATTTTAGCACTGATTTTAATTGGGTAAAATTTGGAATATTTAAATGTCCATCATTTGGGGAGGACTTAAATTATGGTATATTCATAAAACTGAATGCTACTTAGCCATTTAAAAATGAGATCTTAAAACACTAATTTGAAAAAAATATCTAAGGTCCATTATTAAACGAATAAAGGAAAATATAGAAAATATGTTTAATAGAATCCATTTGTTTAACCTCTCTGATTTTGTAGGTTTATTTTTATTTATACTACACAGGCAGATGCAATTTGAGAGTATCAAGCATATAAATAACATCTGTTAAGTTTTCAGAGATTGTTTAAAAAGTCATGTATAAAGCAACCAGAAATCAATCATTAGACTTTTTATTAGCCACACTGTGCATTAGACTACTATGGAACCATGTACTCAAAATCTTGAGAAAAAATTGTATTAACACATAATTTTATACCTGGACAGTTTTTAATGACTGAAGTTTTTGCTATATTACAATAAATTATGCCTGCAATATTACAGAATATATATGTAAGAGAATATATATATTATGTATATAGAATATATATATATTATGAGTGTATATATATATAATGTGTGTGTGTATATATATATATATATATATATATAAAGAAAGAAAAAAACCTGTGATATATATAGAATGAAAAAAACCTGTAGATTATTATATATATACCTAGACGTTATTGTGCTGATTAAATAGCAGCTATATTGGAGTCGTAGGACTATGGGTGATTATGTTTTCTTCTCAGTATTTTTTTCGTCTGATATTTTCCAATCCTCTACAAAGCATATTCAGAAAAAAAAAACACACATAGAAAACACTTAAGGTATGTTTCTTCATGGTCACCAGACTACTTGTTTCTGAATCAGTTAAGAGAAATAGACTTGTTGAAACTCTATACCAGGCCCATTGAGTTAGAAACTTTAGATGTTGGGCTTGGGATCCTGCACTTTAAATTAGCGCCCTTTGGTGGTACTTATATACTTTAAAGTTTAAGATGAAATGCAGAGAATTCTCATTACAATGCATTGGTTTGGCAGACTAGAGGTGAGTATTTCCATTGATGTTTGAAGAATAGACACTACTTTGCAGAGTCTCAAACCTACGACCAAGGAAGACCAATGTCATCTTTCAAATTGTTCCTGGGACCCCAACATTAAATACGCTTTTCTTTTTAATTGCATTTCTATACAGTGTATGTTCTGAACCCAGCTACAGAAAAAGAAACTTGACTTAGTCCACATTTCATAGAAGATTTCTTTTTGTAGCTGTTATCTACTAATTATTTGTCTCTTTTTTTTTGTTTTGGTCTACTCAATAAGCCATTTCCACTTGAAGATTTAGTGCAGTGAACAATTTTTTCATAAAATGGTTTGTACTTAGGAAAATAAAGAACAAAGGAGTAAACCCTACTAAAGAGTCTTCTTGCTAGTTCAGCTCGTGACACAAAGAATAGTTGAAAAATTAAACACACCATAGAGTTAGTATTCAGAAATATCACATCTTAACATTTCTGAGTATTAAATGAAAGTAATGTTGGTTAAAGCAAAGGCACGTAATAAATGTTTGTTGATTATCAAACTGAATGACTTTGCCAAATAAAATGACAAGTGTATTTGCATATAACTATTTTATAACAAGGGTAAATGATTTCACAGATCCTTTTAATGAATAGTATTTCATTCTTAACAGTTCTTCAACTGTCAGCAAAAGATTGCTCTCAACATTTTTTTCAGTCTGTTTTTTTTTAAAGAAACTTTTCTCACTCAATTTTGTCAACTCCTATGTCATATTTGCTTAGCCTGTATTTTTGGATATGAATTAAAACCACCAATAATTTAAAAGTCCTTCTGCCCTTGGCTAGCAAGAAACAAAAAATGGCAAATGAGAAGGTGAAGCTACAAGTATGTGCACTTTGGTTCCCAAGTTACTCTGGTCCATTGCAGCTGCTGTGTTCCATTGTTAGGCTGTGCCCACCTGGGACAGAAGACAGAAATTAAAATAAGTTCAATTTTAAAAAAATGCATATCTTAGGAAAATGTTTAATATTATTTGCTCTTAAGAGAAGTTTTATTTATGAGCTATTAATTTCCCATTGTGAATAAGTTGTAATATAAATTCAGGAACCCAACTTTTCAGTCAGTTAAAACTTTAAAACCTAATGAGTTGAAACAATTGATTCTGCTCTTTCTCCTAGAGGGGGTGGAAAAAAAAATCAGGATCTTACGAAGAAAATTTATTTTGTTTAATTAAAGGCACATTAATTAAGATGCTGTTTAATTCAATAATGGTGCCTTTAAAATGCATTTTTCATCTTTATTCTTTAAGGACAAATAAAGCAGTTATAAATCAGACATTCCTTTAATGTAAGGTGTGACTAGGAAAATATATGATTCATAATCTGAGAGAATGCTGATAAAAATAAATTTGCATTCACAATCCTTAGCCTAAATGATATTGAATGTATTACAGCCAGGACTGGGCATAGGTTGAATTGTGAAATAGGCAAATTACATTTGTGGCCCCATTTTGGTCTCCTCTCTGTGGCTGTCCTCTGCCTTTCCGAAGTCTCATTCGATGCTATCTGCTACAATTTCCTTTGTACCTCCCAAGAGCAATTTTCAGAAAAATGGCACACATTATCTTGGTGGGGTAAATAGTTTTTCTGAGTTATGGAGAGAGACAAAGCTTTAGAAAAAAATATCAGAGGGGCCACAAAGGGATATTGTGGGGCTATCAGTGAAGGTCCCCTCTTTATGACTTCCTTCTCAACCAGATTAACTACATTCATGTCTATTTTACATTTGAGTTTCTCTGTGAGATTTTGTTTGATAAAAGTGTTTCCCTGTTGGTAATGCAATCACAACCAAACAAAAACAAAAATGAACACAAAACCCTTACAAAGTCTGAGAAGTGCTGTCCTAATGATAGGAATATAGGCTATGGATTTGGATTCAGTCCCTGACTCCAGCAATCATTGCTTAAGCAAATTAGGCTTTCTGATTTTAATTCTCTTGATCCAAAAGCTTTAAAATAATTATATATAAAGGACTGTTGTAATAATTAAAAGAAAGACCTTAGTCAAACAACAATTATAGTGCTTAGCATATGGTAGGGATATAAAAAGCATAGTAGATTAGCATGGCTCTTTCTAAATTCCGCTCCTACTTTACTACATTTCTTTAGTAAGTAACTTGTTGCTTGTCCTTTGTTATGTTGAGGTCACTTGTAATCATTTATTTGGGTGTGGAGAGAGAAGCAAACGCAATGATGCTAATCAGTTTGAGACTTAAGTTAGAGATTGATTGGAGATGGTGGAAGACATCCTAAGCTCCTTGAAATGTGCCATCCACAGCCAAGGGCAAAATGCCACTCTTGCGCTTCATAATCAATGTCATTGTTCTTGTAATGGTTCAGCAAGGAGAGAGACTTGCCTGTTAAGTTAGTGCCTTGAAACAAGTAGACACGAAGTAATGCTAAACAAAGGCCACTGAGTGTAATTCTGTCCACAGCCGACTGTGTTTATTTTGGGGTGTGGAAAATTAAGAAACCCTGGCTTCCATTTCTTAGAAAGAAGCAGAGCCTGGATAGTCTTAAAACCAGACATGACAGCGTCAAAACAGCTTTTCCATCTGCCTCTCTTTTCATTTTCCAGAGTGGCCCAGCCCATTTAATGATGAGTGAGAGAAAATAGGACAGGGACTCACAAATCGTCTGTGTCATGCTGCCAAGAGTGAGCATGAGTCAATCTGATCAGTGAGATAGGCTGAAATTCCCTTAAAAATGTAGATTGTCCTAAATGGATTATCCAACCCTCTAGCCTGTCTTCTTTTCACACTGCTATATACTTTTTATTCGCTCTGAATAATTTTTACTCTACAAAGAAATAAAATATTCTATATTTTTATATCATTGTATAGTTTGCAAAGCATTTCATGTTCATTATTTCATGTGATCATTGCATTAACTTTGTAATATTATATTGTATTCTGATTTTTTTGTTTTTCCAAAGAGGAAAGGGAGGTGCAGAAAGGAGAAATGACTTAGAGCAAGTCTCCGCATGACCCAAATGCTAGCAAATATACAATTGCCCCTGATTTCGTTCCAGGTATCTTGGTAGTTAAACTGTGCTTCTTGCTATATTTTAAACCTCTTCATGCCTCATAACACTAGCATATGTTCATTTGGCTGCATCCTCTTGTCAGTTCTACTGGATGCTGGTCGTATCTTTATTGCCTGTTTTATTTTGATAAGAATGAAGAAGCATGCACTGTTTTCTTTTTTTCTTTGATACTTGACTAAAAAACACTTTAAATTCACCTGAATAATATTTTTTTTTTAAAAGCCCTACAACCATTTTTAATAACACCAATGCCTTTTGTGGATACCTAATTAACATAAATGAGTAAGTGTTAAAGATTTACTGCTCCCCATGGATCTGAGCAGAGTAAACTTTCCTCTATTTAATTACATAGCATCATTTATCTTGAGGTGATTTGGGTAACTATAAAAAGAGATTGATTATTCATGTCTTTCTATACTTAGTTTCAAAATATCACACTCTGACTAATGTTTTTGAGATAATTAATTTTTATTTCACTCATGCTATCTGGTTTACTAATTTGTGAGAACTGTGATATTTAAGTATTGAATACTACACTCTTTCAAGATTTATGGACATTATATGTTATGGAAAGAGTTATGCAGAAAACCCATACCTTAACTTTAAATAGTAGCTTAATTTAAAAACTTTAAATAGTAGCTTAATTTAAATATCTGAGATTATTTACAATTACTTGACAGAAAGTACTTTTATTTTCCTTTGAGAATGTCTTATCATTATAATTATCCAAAAGTATTGTAGCCCTTTTCCAAAAGTATTTTTATGTTGGGTGGAATTTAGAATGTATTCAACAGATGTATTCGGTAAGCATATGTGTTACGTGTGTATGTGTGTGTATATATAAGTGTATATGCGTATACATTTATATATATATATATATGCTTATGTGATGTGAGCTTTGAGGGTGTTGGTTTCTGGCCAGAAACCTCTGTGGTCAACAGTGCCTTTGCCTGACTTTTGCTGGGACCCACTGGGCTCTTTCTGCCTGCTTTGCCAGGCAGACTGCACTTAGCTCATGCTATTGGCCTGGGTCCGTGCTTGCCAAGGGCAAATAGAGTGGTAAGGGGTGTGTGAGTGAGCAAGCATGGGGTCTGGCCACTGTGCACAGCCAGGCACACTGGCTGCAGTGGGGCAGGCAGCTCCAGGCACTGGTACAGGTGCCGGCTCCCTGTGAGGCTATAGCTGCACAAGGTGTTACAACGAGCAGCTTCCATGGCTGGCACTGGGAAATGCAGTGACACCTGGAAGCTTGGAGACACTAGGAACCACAGAGCCCCAAAGAGTGTGTCACAGCTCTGGCTTGGGGAGCTCCTAGGTCTGGGTTCCCCAAAAGGCCACAGCTCTTCTTTCCTTCTCTCTTTTCTTGTCATCCGCAACATGGTGAGCAAGGGTCATGTTTGAGCCCTGTTTGTGTTACAGCTCTTTCAGCGCCACCATTCAGCAGGTCCTGAGTTCTTTACCAGTGTCCAGGAAAAATGAGGTATGTGGACAAGTGGAGAGTGAGCAAGGTGAAGAGAAGCTTTAGTGAGTGACATAACAGCTCAGAGGAGACCCACAGTGGGTCACTACTCTCTGCAGGCAGGTTGTCCCAATGAGTGTTCAGCTCTCAGCAGAGAGGAGACCCACAGTGGGTAGCTCCTTTCTTTGGGTAGCTCTTCTCCACTACTGGTAGTCCTGATATCTGCTCAGCTCTCAGCAGAGGGGAAACCTTGGCATAAGTAGCTCCTGTTCACAGGCAGGTCATCCTGTCATCTCTCTGAGTCTGGCTGAGTCTGGGGGTTTTATGGGCTTCAGAGGGGAGGAAGTGCATGCTGATTGGTTCCTGGGTGGCCATGGGCAGCCCTGGAAAAGGCATCATAAGTTCTCATTCTGGTCCATGGAACTGACAGCCCAGCCCCCAGGCTTCAGGCCACCCCTGGCTTGAAGGTGGGGCTTCACCAGGGACCCACCCCTTTCTATCCTGGAGCCTGTCTGCCTCCTGCCCTCATCCATGGCACTGAGGCTGTTCTTGCCAAGGGGTGCCTGCAGGTCATCTGTGAGCTTCTCCGAGCATGCCCCGGGCCTCCCTCCCATCCTCGTCAGCACTCAAAGTCCAGAGTCAGCACTGTGTTGAGCGTGCACACACCTGGCTGGGTTGTGGCAGCACCCAGGCTTGGCCTCAATTTTACTCTGAGATTGGAGCAAGCACCAGGATCGGGGAGAGGCCAGGCAGCAGGAGCAGGCATATGCATACCTGTGGGGGAAGGAGGGCCTTCTCTGGCCCCTGAGAGTGCAGAGATGTTTGGGTCTGCAGCTGCAGCTTGGGCAGCTGCAGCTGTAGGTGGGAGGGTGGAGGTCCTGCTTACTCCCAGTCTCCAAGAGCAAAGGGGTGCCCAGGTCCAGAGCAGTGGCTGGGAAGCTGCAGCTGCACATGGGGAGTATGAGGTTCCCACCCTGCCAGTTCAGAAGGGTGCAGGGCTTCTGCCTATTCCTGGCTCCCACTGGCTCCATGGAGTGCACAACCCTGGCTGCACCTCCCCCATGGTAGCCAGCATCATGGCAGCGGCCACTCCAGATGGGCCACCACTGCCATCACTTACACACACACATACATATATGTGTATATATATGATTATGTAGAAAGAGTGCTACTCTACCAATAACCTAACATTATCTGTCTTTCTCTTTTCCTAGCATAATAAATGTGTTTGTGTGAATTTTTCATATTCCTCAGTTGTTTCCCTGTGTGACTAATAGCAAGGTTTGAGGAGACATATTGCTCATCTGAGGGTTGATTTGGGCCTAAGTTTAAATCTCAGTTCTAACACTCTCAATAGCTATAGAATTCAGCTAACTTCTCAGATTTTAGGCTTCTCTATCTGTGAAATAATCCTTTATAAGTTTTTTTAAGGATTAAATGAGATAATATATGTAATGTATGTAGTACAACGTCTGCCACAAATAGAAATTCAATAGATTTCTTTTTCTCTTTAATGAATCCTTTCTATTTTAAGGAGTTAACAACTATCACTGAAGAGGAAAAAGCTAAATAATGGCTAATCTAGTAGTTCAAATATGCTCTTGAATTCCTAGTACCTCTGCATTTATTAAATAAGCTAGTCAACCAGAGTTCCTCAAATAATCAACTTTCATTAGAGATCAAGATTTTTGTTTTTCACTGAATCCACTAATTTTTCATCATTGAATAAAGCAACTGGTATTTTCTGTAGTGGAAACACATATGACTTCCATTTGAAACCATTTAAACTGAATACAGAGATCCAGGAAACAGACTGCAGTAGATCAGAGAGAATCCAGAACATTATTTTTTTAAACATATGAAAGATACAGGTTTGAATATCAGAAGCACCTGGCTTCCCTTTATAGATAGATGCCAACCAAATTAGGAATTCTTAGAAGAGAAGAGTTACATCATTAAATAAAGGGTTTGGAGAAGAAACTGCCTGGATTTTCAATGTTCATCAACTATGGTTGTGCATATTTTACCAGGTTGCATTTTATTTTCCTTATTCTTAAAAATATCTATGTAGTTTCTAAAAACATTAGGCTCCATTTGTGCCAAGGTTAAAGTTTCTTCTCTTCGCAAGAATTCTAATGGAAAAAGCTCCATGTAGTACATTCATTAGAGCAAATAAAAATAGCAAAGTGCTGCATTCCATTATGATTTCTGCATTTTCATTCTGTGAAATATTTAAACTAAGTACTAACATAATTTTTGTATTTGATAATGAGCTGATGTTTGTTAAATTCTATTTGTTTTTTCTTTGGGGAAGCAATGCTGAAGAACTCCTAGGCAGTGGGCTTTGGCAAGGACCTTTATTACATTTTGTTACTGCTGTATACAGCCTTTTGACATAAATTATCTTTTCAAGAAAAGTAATTGATTTTTTGAGTAAGGAATGATAAAGCAACTACTAAATCTGATTTTTGTGCCATGCAAAAAGTAAAGCGCTTCTCCACTGGTCACACCTTCGCATTTACCCACCCCAAGTCTAAATTTAATCCTGCTTGTGTGTACACCTATTACCTCTAGGTATTTTTACTCATAGCATTTGATGCATCGTGTTATCATGATTTACCTACCCTCTGTTATGATTATAATATTAATAGTATCCCCCTCATAGAAGTAACTTGTGTTATTTATATTTTTGACGAAGAACTAAACACAGTAGCTAGTGCCTAGAAGATGCTGCTGTACACAGGTTTATTGATTCAATGAATGTTTTGCAACTCAACAAAAACTCTTCCCTAAGAGGGAAAATACAATGGTACTGGCTGCTTTACTCTTATGCCATCCCCTAGCTTTAGTGTTTCAATTTTCACCAATCAATCCCTCCTAGTTAATTATCTTGAGTTGAAAACATAACTAGAATAAAAATCTCCTGTCACTTACAATCAATATTTACATGTATTCTCTGACTTCATAATTAATATTTAGATTTCTGTTTATGGACTTAGGCCAAAACTGTCTTCATAACTTTATTATAGATATATATGTAGATAGATAGATACAGACAGATAAACAGATAGTAGATAGGTAGATGTTATCATTAAAGAAAGTATGATGTTAGTAATTTGTTTATAATTTTGCTTCAATAATTACTTTGTCTTAACATTCTAGAATGAGGTTTTCTTAAATCTGGTATTTTATGAAGGTAAATGGTTGAATTTGTGGTTCATTCACTATGAGCTATGACAAAGGGTCCAATTTTCAAATAATGCTCGTACTCTCAGCTCTTACCTGATGTTAAGGATACAAGCAACCAAATGGTGTAGGCACAGCAGAGAGAGGTCTTGGATATCCCATATGGCTTCCTAGGTCCTTCTTTCCTCATGAGACACATTTTGTGGCCTACAGTAACAGAAAAGGTTTGTAATCTAGGTATGCATGTCATCTTACAGTGTGAAGGCATTTAGATGATGAAAGGTCTGTAGTTTATGCCTAGAATATTCAACAGTTTTCATGACATTTTCCAGGGGTATGTGCTTCATAATTTCATAAATTCTAGTTTTATTTCCCATAAGAAATCCTAAACCAAGGGCATCCTTTTAAGAACATTACACAGATAAGCATTCTTCTGCTAGCAAACATTATTAGTCTGTTACCAAAAGGTCCGTTATTAGCAAGTTTATAAAGAAATTCATCTGGAACCCTTTCCTTCTTCCCTCTGGGATTGTGTTTCCATTTTTGGTACACTAGCAGATCTGGGGCAGTTCCAGTAACCCTTTTCTCCTATGTCCACCTTCTGACATCAGTTAATAAATATCCATCACATATTTTTCAGGTTTTAACATTTTTTTATCCTACAAAAATTTTTTTGTGTTACTTAATGAAAAATGTAAGTACACTAACAGTCTAGTGGCCACCAGAATTTGAAGCATACAGTAGGGATAGAAAGCACCTTGTAAAGCATATTAATGACGTACATATCTCTTCAGGGATCTTATATTCTTTAATCAGCTCAGTTACTCTTTTTGCTCCATCCTCAGTTATTTGAAAACGTTAATGTGTGTTGGTGGAGAGGCTTAATTTAGTTTTAATTTTTTTTACTTATTTTTAAGTTTCATTTTGTAAACATTATAATAGACTTATGACCTTTATTTTAATTCCAACTTTTATCTTGGATTTGGGGTATACATATGCAGGTTTGTAACATGAGTATATTGCATGATGCTGAGGTGTGGAATATGGATGATCCCATCAGCCAGGTAGTAAGCATTGTACCCAAGGGGTAGTTTTTCAACCCGTTTCCTTTCCTTCCTTTCTAGCCTTCTAGTAGTCCTCAGTGCTTATTGTTCCCATCATTATGTCCGTGAGAACCCCAGATTTAGCTCCTACTTATAAGTGAGAATGTGTGGTGTCTGGTTTTCTGTTCCTTCATTAATTTGCTTGGGATAATGGCCTCCAGCTACATCCATGTTGCTGCAAAGGACATGATTTATTTCTTTATATGGCCATGTGGTATTCCGTGGTGTTTATGTACCACATTTTCTTTTTCCAGTCCATAATTTATGAACACCTGGGTTGATTCCATGTATTTGCTATTGTGAATAATGCTAAGATAAACATATGTGTGCATGTGTCTTTTTGGTAGAACAATTTATTTTCCTTTGGGTATATATCCAGTAATGAGATTGCTGGGTCAAATGGTAATTGTGTTTTAAGTTCTTTGAGAAATCTCTGAACTACTTTCCACAGTGGCTGAACTAATTTGCATTCCCACAAACTGTGTAAGTGTTCCCTTTCCCCTGCAGCCTTGCCAGCATCTGATATTTTTTGACTTTTTAATAATAGCCATTCTGTCTGGTGTGAGACAGTATCTCACTGTGGTTTTGATTTGCATTTCCCTAATGGCTAGTGATATGGAGCATTTCTTCATATGTTTATCAGCTAGTTGAATGTCTTCTTTTGAGAAGTGTCTGTTCATGTCCTTTGCCCATTTTTTAAAATGGGGTTGTTTTTTGCTTGTTGATTTGTTTAAGTTCTTTGTAGATTCTGGATATTAGACCTTTGTCAGATGCATAGTTCGTGAATGTTTTCTCCTGTTCCGTGGGTTATCTGTTTACTCTGTTGATAATTTCATTTGCTGTGCAGAAGTCCCACTTGTCAATTTTTGTTTTTGTTGCAATTGCTTATGGGGATTTAGCCATAAAATCTTTGCTGAAGCTGATGTTCAAAGGGTATTTCCTAGGTTTTCTTCTAGGATTTCTATAATTTGAGGTCTTACATTTAAATTTTTAGTCTATCTTGGTTAATATTTTGGGAGGTATATTGTGAGAGGTAGGGCTCCAGTTTCTTTTTTTTTTTTTTTTTGCATATGGATATCTAGTTTTCCCAACATAATTTATTGAAGAAACTGGAGCACATTATTCAGCAATCCCACTACTGGGTATATATGCAAAGGAAAGGAAATAAGTATGTTGAAGAGATATCTGCACTATTATGTTTATTGCAGCATTATTCACAATAACCAAAGTATGAAATTAACCTATGTCTATCAACTGATGAATGCATAAGAATTTGTGGTGTATTTACACAATGAAATATGATTTAGCCATTACAGTGAATGAAATTCTGTCATTTGTGACAACATGAATGTGCTTGGAGAATATTTTGCTAAGTAAAATAAGCCAGGCACAGAAAGACAAATACTGCATGTTCTCACTCATATGTGGAAGCTAAATGCATTGATTTCATCGAAGTAGAGAGTAGAATTGTGGTAACTACAGGTTAGGAAGGGTAGGGGGTAATGAGGATAGAGAGATGTTGGCTAATGGATACAAAATTACAGCTAGATAGGAGGAATAAGTTCTGGTGTTTTATACCATGTAGCATGCCTATAGTTAACAATACTTTATATTTTCAAATAGCTAGAAAAGAGGATTTTGAATGTTTCTAATACAAAGAAATGATAAATATTTGAGGTGATAGGCACACTAAGTACTTTATTGGATCATTACACATTTTATACAGTATCAAAATATCACACCGTACTTCATAAACATGTACAATTATTATATGTAAATTAAAAATAATAAAAATTAAGTATGTAACCAGCAATATCACTCTTAGATATACACTACAGAGAAACGGTTGCATTCGTAAATCAAAAGACATGTACAAGATAGTTTCATAGCAGTTTAATATGTAATATTGAAAAACTGGAGGAGACCCAAATGTACATCAGAGAGTAGATGAATAAATTATAGTATATTAATACAATGGAATGCCACGCAAAAAACCAAAAACTTCTACTATACATAACTGATCTTACAAATCATATATAATGTAGAATAAAAAGAATCATACAACAATTATATTTTACTCAACTTATACAAAATTCAGAAACAGACAAAACTAATCTATGGTGATAGAAGTGAGAAGAGTGGTTACTTGGGGGTGAGATGATGGGGCTGGGGGTGTTGGTGCTATTGACATTAAAGATAAGAGAGCCCTGTTCTGGTGCTGGGAATCTATGTCTTGATCTGAGTGGTGATCATATGTGTATATAGTTAAGAATTCACTGAACTATATGCTTACCTATTTTTGCAGTGTACCTGTTATACCTCATTTACAAATTAAATTGATATAATCCTGCAATATGTACTTTCATCCACAATGTTTTTTTTTCTCTCTCCTTTCTGGGTAATTTCTTAATTCACATCAAAAGGAATGCATGTTTTTATGGTTTCTTTTTTAATATTTGGGATTATTAATGAAACGAGTTTTTCCGAGGCCACGGTCTTTTGAGTTGTTTTGGTCAGATTCTCTCACTCCTTTTCCATTTTTTAGGGTAAAAAGCTATATTGTTAGTGGAGGCATTGGTTGATTTTGGGGGTCTAGTTTTCATTTGGTTTTAAAATTTTTTGGCTGAGAATAGCTATCAAAGATATGGGTTTCTGGTTCCCTATTTTTCACCTATCTATCCTGTCATGTCGTCAAAGTGTTTCTTATTATCTCTTCCTCACTCTCCCTTCCAAAGGTAAGCAGACAGAGTCAAGTACTTCTAATTACCTACAAAGCTGATTGAAGTCTGAAGTCACTCTCAACAGCAAGCATGAGTGATGTTTTGGATATCCCACTGATTCTTGACAGAAGGGTTTTAAGTCTATACAATTCCATGTTTTTTAGTAACATTCTTGTCAGCCTTTTAAAATTCACATTGTTGTTTCAAATATGTGACTATGAACTTCTTGAAGTATTTCCATGGCGTTACTTGTTTATACCAATTCCATTAATTTAACTAGCATGTTGAAAGGCAACATTGATATGTGTCATAATTATCTTTTATTATAATTTGAACTATTCTCTTTTTATTACCAAGTTGAAAGTTGAAAGTTTAATAAATTAAGGAGGCAATGTAATTTTGGAAATAGCAGTGGCTAGGAGTTGAGACATCTGAGCTTTATCACTGGCTCTACAATATGATTCAGAATGGTTGATAGATACATTTTCTTTACTACAATAAGAAATTTAAAAAGAGCTGGATCAGGTGGGTTTAATTTTCCTTCTAGTTTGGATCATCAAGTAAATATTCTTCACATTGAGATCAGTAGTAAAGATTACTGTAAATAGAATGTTGGAACATACTGACTATAGCTGCACAGTTGGTTTCAGCAAAGATCATATGAAATGTTACAGATAACAAAGGTTCGTATGAGACCCTTCATCTCATGGCCTTAATCTTGACACCCAGATAGGAGTTACAGGGCTATCAATCTCTTTCTGCAGCTGCTGGAGCTATTTCCAATGCTAATGTTGGTTCCATTTATAGGAAATCTTCCTCCTGTTTTATCTCTGACAACTTCAACATATTCATTGAAAAAAAAGGGTGAGTGAAGACGAGAAAAAAAGAAGCTATAGTTTACGGGAAAGAGAAAGATTTTTTCTTTGTGTTAGAAATAGGTAATTTGAACATAGTAATTAATTTTTTGAAGATTAAATAAACTGAGTTCCAACGTCCTGAGCACTTAGACTCTTCAAAACATAAATTTTTGACTCCAATGTATTTTTGGTTTTCATTCTCTATCTTGAAGACTAATGGGATTATTGTCCACATGCGTTGTTTCTGAATAAAGTGTCTGCTGCTACCTGGAATTCATGCACAGGAAGCATAGCTGATGTGGAAAAAGTATTGCAAGATGACAGAATTCACTATTCTAAATGTGTCCCCAAGGGATTTTAGAGGTGCTAATATTACACACTGCATAACCCTCTCTGCTAGGTGCCTGCATAATCACAGCATTGGAATTGACGTATTTGTCATAGACAATCACATTGGAAACTTTCTGAAGCTATAAATAATGGCTAGGGCACCTATAATATTTTCTAGATGCAGAGACATGGCACTTAATCTTGATGTAATCTGCACAGGGTAAAGCCCAGGGGCATTCATATTGAGTGCTCATGCTTGGGTTATTGCATGACACCCAAAGTTCCCAATTCAACAAGCTTCTTTGCGCTAGATGAAAACTTACGAGTGTATCTGGTCCAGATCCACAGCCTTAGGCAAGTAGTCCTGGTGAGATGATAATGTTTATTTCTTTAAAAGATTTCCTGAGATAAACTCTTCATCTATTAAACAAATATTTATTATTAATAATGAACACTTATTGGCCACATACTCTACATGCCAGATACTGTTCCAAAGACATTATATGCATAATTTTAATTAATCCTTACAACATCTCTATTAGAAAGGTATTATTTTTGATCATTATTTTATAGATGGGGAAAACTGTGCCACGAGACATTAAGGGCCAGCGTTAACTAATATGCCACAAAAGGCAATACATTTTGATAGTTGAAAGTGTGGTTTTTGAGACCAATTTAAAAAATAATGAAGTCCCAGATCTTCTCTTTATTAGATCTGTGACATTAGATAAACTATGCAAACTCTCTCTGCCTCGGTGTTCTCATTGGTAAAATGGGGCTAATAATTATAGCTACTCAAGGGTCATGAGCATTACATGAATCAGGGTAAAGCTATTAGAATAGTGTCTGTCTCAATTGCTTCTTTGCCTTTTGGCTAAGACCAAATATAGAATAGTGTCTGTCTCATATGCTCAGCAAGTGCTAATGCTACATTATTCTGTCTCCTATGTTGAGAATGTTCTATGTTCAATCAGTGTACTGAAATGAGAAACTTTTATGTCTGTCACCTCTATTAGGCTGTGTGCTCCTAAATTATAGAGACATAGTTTAACTCATACCAAGCACCCAGCCAGATCAATGTTACATATAATTTCACTGAATTAATACATGAATAAAGCATGATGCTTATTTTTGAGGCTGTCATGGTACAGTACAGGAATCATATCCTCACAATCACTAGAATACAAAGCAGTGTATGTAACATGCCTCATGCCCTTTCCTGGTACCTATAGCATTTCTTGAAATAATTTTATAGCATTTGTATTAGATCATAATGTTTCTCCTTACAGCTCCTTTTTTCTTATTAACCTGAGACTTTCTAAGCTGTTCTGGGGCAGTACTCTAGTTATTCCATCATCTTTGAAACAGCAGTGGCTGGCTTAATACCAGTGTATATGTTGTAAGTTACTGTGCATGCACACACCATGAGTGCATATAAGCAAGGTGAAAGGGTAGCCTCAACATTGTTATGGCAGCTGTTGTGCAAGAGATAAAGGACCCTGATTTGCTCCTTACTTACTGCTTGGCATTGTGCAAAGCACTTGGCATAAGTTGTTGCAATGTCAAATAGAGCCATAACACCCTCCAATCTCCCTCCCTGTATCTCCTTTATAACACTAATCCTTAACAGAAGCTATGTTAACCATTGTATAACTTTTACATGGGCTTTTCCAGGACAAATCATAAACTAAATTCTTAGGTATATAATATTGCAATCTGCATTGAAAGGAGTCTAGTATATATGCCCACTAAGGCAACTGACTTCAGGAATCTTTACTGCTGCAAGAAAGAGAAAGGGATGTAGTTGAGTAAAGGTTAGAGTTCTTCTGCTGGGTCATCTGTTTTGCGGGGTTTTGTACATCCCTGCATTAGTCTGCTTGGGTTGCTGTAACAAAATATCACAGACTGGGTGTCTTAAAGAAGCAGACATTGATTTCTCACGGTTCTGGGGGTTGGGAAGTCCATAATTAAGGTATTGGCAAGTTTGATTCCTGATCCTGCTACCTGGCTTGCAGATAGATGCCTTCTCTTCATGTCCTCACATGACAGAGAGAATCTTGTCTTTTTCTTCTTTTAAAAACATAAATCCCATCATAGGAGCCCAATCCTAATGAACTTCTCTAAACCTAATTACTTCCAAAAGGCCCTACCTTCAAATACTATCACATTAAGGGTTAGGGCTTCAGCATATGAATTTAGAGAAGACACAACATTCATTTCATAGTAATCCTTCTTTAAAAACCAGCAAACCATCACAAACTTGCGTTCTTATAGAAATCACCCCTCTTCTTTGCAAAATTAGAAATATAGTGCCATGATATATTGCTAAAATAAAGGGAGAGGTCACAAAGACATTTACATTTGAAATAGCACAATATAACATAGAGAATACTCCTACACGATAGGTTTTCTATCACTTACTCCTCTGTAGTATGCAATCTGTGTTTTGAATATGTTTCTTTGCAACTGCAGTTGGTGGAAACCTTCAATTTGCGATCAGGGAGGTTAAAAGAGTTGTCATTTTGACAACTGACAATCCAATCAGAGAAACTAAAAATACTATTTTGTTATTTTATCAAAGGCAAAACTCTCCTGCAGAAGGGTATGAGTGTGAATCCATTTTAAAATATAGTGTCCTATAGTTAAGAAATATCTATTGAAAATTAAACATGTAATTGGTTCTTATAAATGGTTCTGTTTTCCAAGACTTCTAATAAAAGAACTGGCTTTTCTTAGGAAGTCAGAATACCTGGCAAAGGACAAAGGCAGAGAGGTCACCAAAGTGGATACCAATGTATACTCTGAGGATCCCAAAAAGTGATTTGAGGAAGGAAGTGTTTCAGATATAAATTTCTCTATTTTTAAATAATTTTTTAAATACAGGCATAGCTCAGAGATATTGCTGGTTTGGTTTCAGACCACTGCAATAAAGTGAGTATTGCAGTAAAGGCAGTCACACATATTTTTTGGTTCCCAGTACATATAAAAGTTATGTTTACCCTATATTGTAGTCTATAACATGTACAACTGGATTATGTCTAAACAATGTGCAGAACTTAATTACAATACTTTGTTGCTAAAAAATGCTAATGATCATCTCAGCCTTCAGTGAGTCATCATCTCTGCTGGTGGAGGATCTTGCTTCCACGTTAATAGCTGCCAACTGATTAGGGTGGTGGTTGCTGAAGTTTGGAATAACTGTGGCAATTTCTTAAAATAAGATAACAATGAAATTTGCTGCATGCTTTGATTCTTTTACAAAATATTTCTCTGTAGCATATGATGCAGTTTGATAGCATTTTATTCACAGTAGATGTTCTTTCAAAATTGAAGCCAATCCCCTCAAATACCTGCTACTGCTTTATCAACTAAATTTATGTAATATTCTAAATCTTTTGTTGTCATTTCAATAATGATGACAGCATCTTCGCCATGAGTAGATTCTATCTCAGTAAACCCCTTTCTTTGCTCATCCATAAGAAGCAACTCCTCATCAATTCAAGTTTGATCATGAGATTGCAGCAATTCAGTAATATCTTAAGGATGTACTTCTAATTCTAGTTCTGTTGCTATTTCCACCACATCTGCAGTTACTTTCTCCATTGAAGTCTTGAACCTCTCAAAGTCATCCATAAGGGTTGAAATAAACTTACAAAACTCATGTTAATGTTGACATTTGGATCTCCTTTCATAAGTTACAAATATTATTAATGGCATCTAGAATGGTAAATTCTTTCCAGAGGTTTTCAACTCACCTTGTCCGGATCCATCAGAGGAATAACTATCTACGGCAGCTGCAACATTACACAATATTCTTATTAAATCATAAAACTTGAAGTCAAAATTACTCCTGATTTATGGGCTGCAAAATGGATATTGTGTTAGCAGACATGAAAAAACATGAAAAAAACATCTGCAGATAACCTGTAGCAGATTCTATATCAGCACTTACTGCTTCACCTTTCATTTTATGGAGATGGCTTATTTCCTGAAGCCTAAGGAACCAACCTCTGCTAGCTTCAAACTTTTCTCCTGCAGCTTCTGTACCTCTCTCAGTCTTTATATTATTTAAGAAAGTACGGGCTTTGCCCATGATTAAGTTTTGGCTTAAGGGAATATTTTGGCTGGTTTGATCTTTTATCCAGACCACTAAAATTTCTTCATATCAATTAAGTTTGCCATCTTACGTGGGAACAGTTTGTGGTGCCCCCAAACAATTGTACTAGGAACATCAAAGATCACTAATTACAGATCACCATGACAGATATGATCATAATGAAAAAGTCTGAAACAGTGCAAGAATTGCCAACAAGTGTGACACAGAGAGAGGAAATGAGCACATGGTGTTGGAAGAAAATGGCCCCAGTAGATTTGCTTAGTGCAGAGTTGACACAAAGTATCAATTTGTAAAAAACATAACATATGCAAAGCACAATAAAGTGAGGCATAATAAAATGAGGTAAGTCCTTACTAAAGAGATTCTCTTCAAAGCTTATTTTTGTCTTAGGAGCCTCAAATTATAGGGTATCAGGTCTTTGTTCCATTCTTTCCTCCACCTTCTTTTCTCTCTTGCATGCTTATAGTTGTTAATTTATACTGCAAAGCTATCACTCTTTTATCTGCTTTGGTTTAGGGTTAGTTTTTATGTCCATTTCACATTATGTATTATTAACTTATTGAAGCTAGACACCTGTCTTTATTGTATGTCTTCCATAGCACTTAGCACAGCGTATCGTAGATATGAGGAAGCTTGTTAAATTGAATTACATTGATAGTGATCACAAGGTTTGGGAAATACGATGCTTTAGAAAAGATTAAAAGAACACAGATTGTTTATCTTAAACAAAGGATCTAATGCTATTCTAAGAGTCTACAAATCAATAATGTTTTTATATCTCTTGAGAGAGAAATGAGAGGTGGTAGTAGAATGGGGTGGTTACCAACTGTTTCCAGAGATTTCTTTCTGGTTTATTGCTGAATGCCCAAGAATGTACCTCTTTTCTGTGCTTTCTGTTTATATGAGCCAGTTTTTTTGGGGACAGTCATACTTTATTGGTTCCACAGGCTTCAAGGAATTCTATCCTAACTTCAATCTGTACATATAATTGAGGAGCTATTATTTTGCATATAGAATCATTTATAACATATGGTTGTTCTGCTTTTCCAGCCACATTATGAGCTTAACTTTTTTACTAATTTTTACTGAAACATATACAATATGTTATCGGTATTTTTCTACAAATATTTATTGAGCACTCACTATGGGTCAGGACATCAGTGATATGTCAGAAATCTAATAATGAATAAAATACAGACCCTTCCCCTGAAAGGATAGTAATCTGGTAGAGGAGCATCAAAGTAAAAGAAAATTATATTAAAATATAATATCTGATGTATAGAACTAGGTCCATTAGGTTCTGTGGGAGCACATAGATGGGAAGAAACTGATTTGTCTAGGCCAGCACTGTTCAATAAAATTACAATGTGAGTTATATATGTAATTCAAAATTTTCTAATAGTGATATCAAAAGGAAAGAAGTCGGTGAGTACATTTCATAATACTTTTATTTAATCCAATATATCCAAAATATCCTTTCAACTTGTAATTAATATAAATATTAATGAGCTAGTTTATATTCTTTTCTTTTATTTTTTTGAGCTAAGGCTTTGAAATCTGGGATGCATTCTGTACTTCCAGTCCACCTTAGTTTGGATTAGCCACACTTCAAGTGCTCAATAATAACGTGTGCATAGCAGTTATTCAGCTAACACAGATCCAGGAATTTAAAGAGGGAATTTAATAATGAGTTGGGTCTTGGTGGTTGAAAAGGAATTCCTAGACGTAAGAGACAAAATATGATATTCATTCCAGGGCAACAGGATATACAAAGGCACAGAGATATCCAAGTGTGTTGACAGAAGTTCCATATGTGTAGGCATGGCAGAAAATTGACCCAGAAAACAAGGTTGATGTTGAATTCTAACAATTATCCTTAAAGACCTAATGAAAGTAGGTTTAATAGCTAAGAGAGTGTTGTAGTATTATTACAATATCTTTGCTTTATGTAATATTTATAGAGTGCTTATTATGTGTCCAGTAGTGTCCTAAGCACTTTTTATATGTTAGCTTGTTTAATCTTTGAAACAACCCTATGAAGTTGGTATTATTATTATCTACCCCATTTTATAGATGAGAAAACTAAAACATAAGGAGGTCAAATAATCTGCCCAGGGGCACACAACTAATAAGTGGAGAAACAGAATTTGACTCCTAAATCTGTGTTATGTTGGCTTTATAAGTCACTGCCACCACTATAGCATATAGACACAGTGATGAATTTAATGTTCTGCGTAGATCAGTAAAGGCAAAATAATTAAGAACTATCAAAGTTGTAAAATGAGCTAATGAGGCAAATTTGTTTTCCTAAAAGTAAAAACTGATTGAAGACTAAATAAAATTCAAAGTTGTAAAAACAAATGTGATAAACAGTTCATTACATTTTAGGAATGTAGTGTGTGCCACATGAATAGTCCCTAATGTTTATTAATAAATAAGATGAATGAATTTGAAAAGTTCATTTTACTCCAGGTAGTTTCTATCAATTCCCTGAAAATATAATTCAAAAACTGCATTTGGCCAGGCACTGTGGTTCACGCCTGTAATCCCAGCACTTTGGGAGACTGAGGCAGGCGGGTCACCTGAGGTCAGGAGTTCGAGACCAGACTGACCCACATGGAGAAACCCTGTCTCTACTAAAAATACAAAATAAGCTGGGCGTGATGGTGCATACCTGTAATCCCAGCTACTCGGAAGGCTGAGGCAGGAGAATCACTTGAACCCGGGAGGCAGAGGTTGCGGTGAACCGAGATCCGCCATTGCCCTCCAGCCTGGGCAATAAGAGCGAAACTCGGTCTCAAAAAAAAAAAAAAAAGCATTTCTGTTGTGTTTATAAGAGACACGTTTACTATATAAACAGCTTGTAAATAAAAGGATGAAAAAGTTATACGGTGAAACACGAACCAAAAGAAACTAGTGTTGCTGTATTAATATTAGAAAAAAATAGACTTTATGGCAAAAACACTACCAGAGATAAAGAGGAACATTTAATAATGATCACTAATTAAGTTCACCATGAAAGTATAATTTTCTAAAGCTTTATTTATCTAATTGCATAGCCTAGAAATTTATGAAATAAAAATTTATAGACTAAAAAGACGATAGAAAAACATAATCGTTGTGGGTGAATTTAACCACCTTTCTCAGGAACTTACTGAACATGTAGACATATCAAAATATTGAAAACTTGACCATTACATTGAAACAATCTCAATGTAATTGACTTGTATGCAACTTTGCACCCTCAATTGTAGACCACTCATTAAATACACATAGAAGTTTTGTGAAATTAATTATATCTTGGGTCAGAAAGCAGACTCAATATAATGCAAATGATTTAAATTATATTTGCTAACCATAGAGCATTTAAGCTAAAAATTAATAGCAAAAGGATATTTTTAAATACCCATATGTTTAGAAACAAGTAAACAAACTTATAAATAACACATACCTCAGGGAGGAAGTGATAAATTTAGCAATATCAAACTATTTTGAATTGAATCTATAAAATATTCAATATATCAAAACTTCTGGAATGTAGCTAAAGTGTGTATATAGTGGAATTTATATTACTATTTGTATATTTTAGAAAAAGAAAAGTTTAAAAATTCATAAGCTAGACATTCATCTCAACTAAAACAGTAACAGCAAATTGAATGTAAAGTAGAAGAAAATAGTAAAGAGTAAAATGAATAAAAATGAAAAAAGTATAATAAAAATGATACAAATACTGATGATAAGATCAATAAAATCGACAAACATCTGTTGAGACAGACACTCCACATTAAAACTTCATGAATAGTAGAACAGTGCTTTGATCTCTGTGTGTGTGTGTTTCTGAAATAGATAACATTAATTTTCAAAGCTGAACTTTCTTTGCATCATAAACGCGAAAAAAATGCTCAAATTAAGTCATGAAAAATAATTAACACCTTTTTTTATTTCCTGTCATTAAATAAATTATGCACATATTTAATGTATCACACATTCCTAGAATACTGCTATTGTTTCTTCTGTTTCCGCACTCCTGCCTCTTTTGTAGCTTCCCTTAGGTCTGAGAGTAACATAGTAAAAGCAGAGAAAAGTTTAGCTCAAAGAATCTTAGGAAACTTAACAAGCTTTATGATATTTTCTAGTCTTAAGAGAGCTTGAGATCTAATACCTCAAATACAGCCAAAAAGTGAAACCCTTTATCAAGTAGCAATATTTTCATGGTCTTTTTTCTGTTCAGCCCTCTCCTGTTACAAAACCAATCTATAAACCATAATCAGCAATGGGTGTGTTTCCATCCTAATTTGAAGGTATTTTTCTTTAGCAATCCCGGGTAATATCTTATTTTTGAATGTTGACATGTTTTAATACATTTGGCTCAGCTATTAGTAATTGAAAACACTTCTTTGGTTTTATATACCTTAACACTGGACACAAAAGACATACTTAGATTCACACATATCATCTGCTTTGGCTTACATCCACACATCATAGATAACACAGACACAACATTTAGATAAATCCAACGTGAAATTCAAGAAGGTTAAAAGACAGTCTCAGCTATAAGAGGAAGGCTTAAACAATCAACTCCAGATATTCCCTAATCACAAAAAGAGACTAAAAATAGTTTAAGATAAAGAGAATGTCATCAGATAGCACAAATCATAGATAAGAAACTGCAGTCTGTTGGAGTTTAAAAGCACTTTTGAGGGGGAAGATAAGGAAGAGGAACATAGGCCAATTCAAGGAGAAAATGTCTACCAAGGCCAACTTTGACCTTGAGAATGCTTAGTACTTATTATATTTTAATCATTTTTGGAATATTATAATAATGTTAAATCTTGAAATTTTATAGAAGAGCAAAAGAATTGTCAAGATACATCTGAAAAAAATTAACTTTAGGAGCTTAGCTATGTAGATTTATTTTAAAGGTAAACTAAGACAATGAAGTATTATAAGCACGGATGTATGAGATAAAAGATCAGAATAGTGATCCTAGAACAATAAATCTAACCTAGGTATGACAAATGTGGAGAAAGATATTTCCTTAATAAATGGTATCAGGGCAATTGATTATATTAAATTACATCAAAAGATATCAATTCCACACAGATAAAAGACTTAAATAGGAATATCAAGACAATGTAAATTGTAGAAAATAGCAAAGGAAAATTTCTTTATGATACCATGGTAGGAAAGTATTTTTAATAAAACACAAGCAGCACAAACTATAAACGAAAAATTCGATAAATTAACATGAAAAAGAGTATTTTCTTTTAATCAAAAGACAGTATTGAAAGAGTGATAAGACAAGCCAAAATTTGAAGAAGAAATTTTTAATGCATGTAACTAACAGATAGTAGCATCTAATATATATGTATATATAGTATACTTATCCACAGTTAAAATAATATATGCATATATACATATGTATTTTTTCTATTAATGATAAATAAGAACCAAAAAACCCAATAAAAATAGGTCAAAATTAGGAACAGATATTCCATTATCAGATGTCCAATAAACAAATATAAATATTCTTAGCCTCTTAGTAATTTGGGAAATCACAATGAAATGCCATTTTATACATACCTTACTGGCAAAATTAAGAAGGCTGAGTCTAATAATGTTGGCAAAACTTAGTGAATTTCCTATAACTTTCCAAAGCCTTTTGGAACAAAATTTGCTATCATGTAATAAAATTAAAAGTATTCCCAGCATAGGATGTCATAATTCCATTCACAAGCATGTCTTAATAGAAATTTTTGCACATATGCTCCAAGAAATGCAAAATAAATTTCACAATAACTTTGGTAAGGAAAAAAAGTATGATAGAGAAAAATACCCATTGATAGGAGATTGGATTAAAAAATTGGGGTAAAATTATACAATGGAATACGACTAAGTAGTACACAAAAATTGACTGCTATACTTACTAAAAATCAAGTACCTCAGAAACAATATATCAAAATAAAGCCACTTGCAAAATAATATAGTGAGTAGGATAAAATTTACAATGTGCAGATAGAGAAAGCAATACATTAATCATATACACATTTATAGCAATGTATCTCTTAAAACAATCATGTGAATGAGAAACAGAACATTCAGGACAGCAGTTTCTTCTGTTAAGAGAAAAGAAATTCTACTGGCAATGGCACACAGTGGTTTTCAAGACTATTAGTACATTTTGGTTTCTTATACTGGTTAGTGAGTTGTTAAATTTGTTATTATTGTTTATTGTTGAGAAACGTATTTTACATTTTTTTTAACATATGAAATTTCTTAAACGTTTAAAAAGATTAAACGGGAGAGGAAGCAGTGTGGTCGATTTGAGAGCAGATATGCAACATTAAGCAGTGATCATTTGTGTCTAACAAAGCAAAAAAAAACTATAATTTTTCAAACTATGTTCTCTTAGATAGTATGGAGCCACCACTAGCCAACATGGCTGCCAACATGGTGCCTTTGTATCAGTTAGGAATTCGTACCCCATTCTATGAGGGAGATATAGCACCAAGCATGGGTACAAAGCTTGGCTGACTTTTCACCTCCGTTTGCCCTTGTAACCAGGCATCATTGTTCAGGTTCAAAGTGTAGAGTTGGATGTGGTTGCCAGGGTAGAATGCTAAGAATCATAGCTTTATTTTCTGTATGTTTGGATGAAGGCCATAGACAGTGGCACAAGGAAACAATATGATCCTACGTAGACGACTGTGAGGCAAGCGGAGCTCGGGAAACACTAAAGTCTGGCAGATCCTGGGTGACACCAGCCTGAACAAAAGTAGACTGTCTTAATCAACATTTTACTGAGGAAGAACTGAAAGGTGTTTTTTGTTTGTTTGTTTGTTTGTTTTTATTTTTGAGATGGAGTTTAGCTCTTGTTGCCCAGGCTGGAGTGCAATGGTGCAATCTCAGCTCACGGCAACTTCTTCCTCCTGGGTTCAAGCAATTCTCCTGCCTCAGCCTCCCAAGTAGTTGGGATTACAGGCATGTGCCACCATGCCCAGCTAATTTTGTATTTTTAGTAGAGACAGGGTTTCTCCATGTTAGTCAGGCTGCAAGTTTTATTCGAGCTCCACACATGTGACTTATAAGTTGTTCTGTGTAAGTTTTTAGTTAAGTACATTGTTTTTATCCCATAATATTAATCTTTTTTGCTAAAGTAACCTTTTCATTTTAGAACAATTTTAGGTTACAAAAAGTACAGTTTTGGAACACAGAAAAATTGTGAAGATAGTACTGATATAGGAGTTAAAAAGAAATTATTTAGGCAGCTAGTGAGGGTAAGAGAGTCCTCAGTAATGTTTTCCTTTTAATAGAAACAGCCTCCAAATCATTACTTTTCTAACTAAAAGTAGCCTGTAAAATCGAGCTGCAGACATAGATAAGCAAGCTGGAAGCTTGCATGGGTGAATGCCAGTAGCTGTGTCAATAGGAAAATGTTATCTGGGGGTAAAGCATATTAAACATGGCGGCTGCATCTTCCCTTTTCTTTGTCAACCACTTGTACAGTAAGGAACAGACAACATGGCTCCAGTCAGGTAGAGAACCCATTTGCATAATTAAAGATTAGGGTGGGGTGGCCAGCTTCTTTGTGCACTATGCAAATAGCACACCTGGTCCAACCAATCTTTGGGCCCATCGTAAAACAGACACTGCCCCCTCAAGTTAGTCTATAAAACCCCTTGCACTTCATCTCATACTGGAAGACACACTCGGGATCCCCCACTCTCTGTCTGCAGGAGAGAGAGCTATTCTCTCTCTCTCTTTTTTTTTTTTTTTTTTGTTTTTGCTTATTAAACCTCCGCCCTTAAACTCACTTCTTGTGTGTCCGTATCCTCGATTCTTTTGGCGTGAGATGATGAACCTCGGGTATTCACCCCAGACGAGGATGCTGCTTCAGTACAAAATATTCCTATATACCCTACCTTCCAGTTTCCACTATTATTAAAAGCTTACATTAGTATTATACATTTATTACAATTAATGAACCAAGGCTGATGCGTCATTAGTAAGTAAAGTCAGTACTTTAAGATTTCCTTAGTTTATACCTAATATCCTTTTCCTGTTGCTGGATTCCATCCAGGTTACCATATTGCATTTAGTTTTCATTTCTTTTTAGTTGCCCTTGGCTGTTTCAAGTTTTTCAGGTTCCTTATTTTCAATGGTTTGAGGGGTGTGAGAAGTACAGTTGAAGTATTTTGTGGAACATACCTCAGTTGGGTCTTGTCTCTTACACTGGAATTATGTGTTTTGGGGAAGAAGATCACAGAGGTAAAGTGCTATTTTCATCCCATTATTTTGGGGGTACATACTATGAACATTATACCACGATGATGTTAAACTTGATCACATGGTAGATATAGTGTTTATGTATAGTCAGGTTTCTCCACTAAAATAACCCTTGTTCCCCATCCATACTGTACTCTTTGGAAGAAAGAAAGTCAATATTTGTAGCTCCCACAGAGGAATAGAAAATTATGCTTCAGTTCCTTGAGGGTGGAGAATCTACATAAATTATTTGGGATTCTTCTGAATGGAAGACCTTATCTCCCATTTATTAGTTTTTACAACGTTTAGTTATGTCACTACTGACCCTTAGATATTTATTTTATACTTTGTTTTATAATCCAATACAATTTCATTTACTGTCTTGCTCAAATTGTTGCAGTTTTGGCACTTGAGGGTTCTTTCAGTTGTCTCTTGTGTCTCCTTGGCAGACATCCCCATCATTGCATGTTTTGTTTTATTTTGTTTTCTTCCAAAGCCCTTCTTTACTTTCTGACACTACAATAAAATCCAGGCTGCCCTGGTCCTAGAACCAGCCATTTATTTAAAGAGCTTTGTTTATTGGTTAATGCTATTAGAAACCAATATATGGGCACAATTATGTTCCTTTCCAAGGTGCTATTGTTTCTAGGCCCTCTTAGCTGGCAGAGCAAGGGGATACATGGGTGTATACTAACCAATGTATATATACATATTTATAAATATTCTGTATAATTATCTGCACCTATATTTATCTAAACATAAGTTCATTCTGATCTCTCCAACTCTAATCCATTGCCTAATGGGTCATTGGAGACTTTAGTCCTTGCTTGTCTGTAATCTCCTTTTCAAAACAGTGAGAAAACCTGGTTCCCTCCATTTTCTTGACTATTCAATTTCACTATAAATGTATCAGAATTTCTACCCATATCACCAAGAGAAACAACCATCAACTAAAGTATAGTGCCTGTGCACTGCATTTTATGCCTTTAGTCTTACAGATTCTACTGTTTTCCAAAATTACTTAGGTAAACAACTTATACCTTCACCCTTTTCAATGAGATGGTTTCACATATTTTTAATAGAATTAGATTGTTTTGTCAGTCTACTTTCCATCCAGAGATTCTGTATCTTCATTATAATTTTTAAATTTGCATACATTAAGGCTCATGCTTTGCTCTGTAAAATTCTATGGCTTCTGAAAAATGCACAGTTTCATGTATTCATAACTACATTATCATATGAAATATTTTCTCTGCCCTGAAAACTCCTCTTTGCTTCACCTATTAAACATTTTCCCTCCTCAATCTCTATTGTTTTATCTTTTTCAGAATGTATAATTGGAATCTTAATGATATGTAGCTTTTTCAGACTGGCTTCTTTAACTTAGCAATATGCATATAAAATTCATCCATTTTTTGTAGTTTTTTTTGGTGGCTCCTTTCTTTTTACCACTGAATAATTTTTCATTGCATGTATGTACCATAATATGTTTATCCTTCTACTAAAGAAATTTTGGTTGCTAGAGTTTTTACTATTAGGACCAAAAATGCTATAAACATGCAGGTTTTTTTGTTGACTTAAGTTTCTAAATAAATCGGGTAAATACCTAGGCATATGATTGCTAGATATTATGGTAAAACTATGTTTGGCTTATAAGAAATTGCCAAACTGTCTTTCAAAACGGTTCTATCATTTTGAATTTTCACCAGCAACGAATGAGAATTCTTGTTGCTCCACATCATTACCAGCAATTGGTTTTGTTAGTTTTTTAGATTTTAGGCATTTCAGTAGGTGGGTAGTGGTATCTCGTTGTTTTAATTCGCAACTCTAATGTCAAATTATGTTGGGCATCTTTCCATATGCTTATTTACCATTTTATATCTTTTGTGAGATGTCTTTCAGATCTTTTAGATATTTCACCTGCTCTTTAATTACTCTGTGTGTTTATTGTGGAGTTTTAAGAGTTCTTTGTGTATTTTGGATACATTTGTTAGATGTGTTTAGCAAATATTTTCTCCCAGTCACTGGCCTTTCTTTTCCTTCTCATTACATTGCACTTCACAGAGCAGAAATTTTTCATTTTAGTGGAACCCAACTTATCAATTATTTCTTTTATATATTGTGCTTTTTGTATTACATGTAAAAATCGTCAATAGTTCTAGTTACATAGATTTGTTCCTATGTTTTCTTCTAGAATTTTAATAGTTTTCCATTTTATATTTAGTGTTAGGATCCATTTTGAGATCATTTTTGTTAAAGGTGTAAATTATTTGTCTAGGTTTGTTTTATTATATTGTTTGCATATGGATGACAATTGTTTCAGTCCCATTTACAAGAGTCTTCCAACCTAGGATTATGGGATATCTTTCCCTTTCCTTAGGTTTTCTATGATTTTTTTGTATTAGTGTTTTGTAATTTTCAGTACATTGGTCCTGTATTTGGTTATATTTATACCTAAGTATGACATATTTTTAGGTGCTATTGTAAATGATGATTTTAAATAATTTTTTAAATTATAGTTGTTTACTGCTGGCATATAAGAAAGCAGAAGATTATTATGTGTTAATTTTGTATCCTAAAACCTGTTATACTCATGTGTTAGGTTTGTGCCACTCATTTATTTTTTTTTTTCACATGTGGGATAAGGTGGCAAAAGAGGGAAATGAGGAGAGAAACAGGTGGTGACTGTCTGTAGCTCACACCTTCAAAAGGAGGTAATCCCATTATAGAGGTCCGGGCTCTGTGACCTGAATCAGTCCTCAGTTGGCAATTCAACACAAGTGTTCCCCCAAATTAATGTTCTTTATACTGAAATTGGATCTTAAGATCCCTGGAACTCTTGCAGGACAAGTAGTCAATGTGGGCCTATCGAGAAGGTAATTTATTGATATGCAGTCAAATATGGGTTTATTAGAGCCAATAGGCTGTGCTAATAGATTGAGTGTGAATTATATGACACAGGAGAGGAACTGATAATTAATAGCATAATTTACTAAAATTTGGAACACAGGACAAGGAAATTAAGTTTTGGATATATGGAATTTGAGATGCCTTTAGAAACGAAATGTAAATGCTATGTAAATATTTCTTTTATTTTAGTCTAAAATTCAGATGATAGGTCAAGGTAGGAGATTTACATTTGCTATGCAACTATAGGTGGTATTAAAAGCCACGATTGAATGGGATCATCTGGAGATAAAATAGAGATAGAAAACTGACAGGGTTCGACAGGGTTCGAGAACCAAGCTCTGGGCCATCTCAAATTTAGAGATCAGGAAGAGGTGGAGTTTCCTACACAGGACACTGAGAAGGAGTGCCCAGTGAGGAGGGAAACAATAACAACAAGTATGGTGGTCTCTTGATAGCAGATGAAATAAGCATTTTAAGTAAGAAGGAATAACCAGTGGTTAGACATAACGTGTAGGATGAATTTGCAAACAACATCTTCAGTGGAACAATAGAGTAAAACCTGGATTGAGTATAAGGAGAAAATGGTAGGAGACAAAGTAAATCTATGAAGTATAAATGTTAAGAGTAATGATGGTGAGTAAGACAGACACATTCTAAAAATATATAATTAAATAATTATTTAAATATCTGTAATAAAATATACAATTAAATACCTGTAACACATGTATCCAAGTATAGAATGTACTCAATGCAAACACATAAAATAAATATATACATATAAAATATATGTCAACCATTAAAGATAGATGATATAAAATCATATACAAGCAACACATATGAGAATTAGAAGTATCTATGACACATATATTTGAAAATGCATAATTTTAATAACCTAAAAAGTTAAACATTCAAAGAAATTTCAACATTCCAGCTTTACTTTACAGTAAAATAAGAACACAAACTTTTTATTGAAAAAGACCTCATGCTAACCCCAGAAATCTATACCTATCCAACAATCTCAAAATGTTTTAATAACATTTATAATTAAGGGACTGGTCTTTATTGCTTCTTTTCATTTTTAATGTCATACACGTCTTGAATCAGAAAAGCATGAGTGTATAATTTCTCATCTTTTTTTTCCACTCTGAAGTACAGGAGAGGAGAAATTATTAATGAGCTCCTGTCCTGCATTGAATTTTACTTTTGGGTTATTGCTGTGTGATCACAATCAAGTTATTTGAACCAAAGGAAGAGCTACACTTTTCTTCTAGAAGTTTAAATTCTCAAAAACCAAATAAAGAAAATTTAAAACTCATTTACCACTTCATAGTGAGATATTTTTCAGGCTTAAAAATAAACCACTGAGAAAACTGCTCTGTAAAATATTTCTATTTCTTTTCATTTTTTATTTGATACATGATTTTTTAATTTGTGAAAGTTAGAAATTTTGGATACATGCACTAATTAATGACATTAGATCATTCCTATTCTGGCTTAGATCCTTAAAAATCTTCACTTTTCTTTGGTCTTTTAAAACATTTTCACTAGCTTCCAATTTAATAGAGCAAGTGGTATATTTCTATTGATTAGAAAGTCATTGATTGATAAAATATTGTGAGTTCTGTTTTTCACTTGTAATTAAACAATACCATAGATCTCTTATTCATTGTATATTGATGATCCCTAACTTAGTACCAAACCTTACCTGACACACCATTAACAATATTTATTCTTCTTTACATCATGTATAGATTACTTTTTCTCACAGCTGGGATCTTGTTGATTTCCCTAGAGACGTTACAATGGTTTCTAGATTGTTAGCCATTTTTTCATGAAAAGCAAGGGCTCACAACTGCAGTAACTCAGACCAATATGCTGTATTTTCAGTGGAAGATCTATAGCAATACATGTGAGATGAATTGAAGTGATAGATCAACTCTTATAGCTGATTACTTCCCGGGATGTGGTATCTGAAACTTTGTTACTCATGTCCAGTTTCAGGGACTTAAAACTTAGCTCTTTTGTCCTATTTTGAGGGCCCAGCAGTGGGGTATTTTGCAATTTGCAAATCATTTCCATTTACCTTGAATCATTTGCAGTGTACATGTTAGACAGAAAAAAATGTATAAATATTAGTTTAGGCTCTTACAGCCCTGGTCATAATCCTTATGGTTATAAATCAAAACTCAGAAATCTCTATTGAGAATTATCCTTACATATCAAATAGAAATAAATATTTGATATATTTCTAACATTGACATAAGAGAACAATAGTTCACATATTGAATATTTGTAGTTTCAGCAAAGTAAAATCTTTTTTTTTTTAAATACATTCCTTTCTATTATTCTCTTCTTGCCTAATTTTACTAAATGATCAGTGCCTTAAGTAGCAAGATGATACAGGTAATCATAAAAACAGAATGGGTTCATATCATTGCTTTTTCTCTGGTCTGAATTTTTTTTTCTTTTTTTATTTTATTTTATTATTATTATACTTTAAGTTTTAGGGTACATGTGCACAATGTGCAGGTTAGTTACATATGTATACATGTGCCATGCTGGTGTGCTGCACCCATTAACTCGTCAATTAGCATTAGGTATATCTCCTAATGCTATCCCTCCCTCCTCCCCCAACCCCACAACAGTCCCCAGAGTGTGATGTTCCCCTTCCTGTGTCCGTGTGTTCTCATTCTTCAATTCCCACCTATGGGTGAGAATATGTGGTGTTTGGTTTTTTGTTCTTGCGATAGTTTACTGAGAATGATGATTTCCAATTTCATCCATGTCCCTACAAAGGACATGAACTCATCATTTTTCATGGCTGCATAGTATTCCATGGTGTATATGTGCCACATTTTCTTCATCCAGTCTATCATTGTTGGACATTTGGGTTGGTTCCAAGTCTTTGCTATTGTGAATAGTGCCGCAATAAACATACGTGTGCATGTGTCTTTATAGCAGCATGATTTATAGTCCTTTGGGTATATACCCCGTAATGGGATGTCTGCCTCAAATGGTATTTCTAGTTCTAGATCCCTGAGGAATCGCCACACTGACTTCCACAATGGTTGAACTAGTTTACAGTCCCACCAACAGTGTAAAAGTGTTCCTATTTCTCCACATCCTCTCCAGCACCTGTTGTTTGCTAACTTTTTAATGATTGCCATTCTAACTGGTGTGAGATGGTATCTCATTGTGGTTTTGATTCAGCAAAGTAAAATCTTTAAACGTGAGATAAAAATTTAGCCTTATCATGAGCCATTCCCTTGAATTTTATGTTGGTCCAGCTGAATTACTATACTACCACTTGAAGTTAATTCATTGGTAAACATAACTATCTTAGAGAATAATTTTTAGAAATCCATGTCTTAGAATCATATGTAAGACAATATTTTTGACATAGAATAAAAAAAGGCGTTCTTTGGGAATTTCTACTACATTATGTGTCATGATATGTGATATGTTACTCATGTTATTGAATTTAATAATTGCTACATATGGAATCAGGCTCTGGAAATACAAAATTGATTAATACCTGCTTCTTGCACCTAAAGAGCTGAGCATCTATTGAATGGAGAAGGCAAACTAGCAAATTACTAATTATACAGCATTAGGAACATGTTCAAAGAAATTTGAGAAATATGCTAAGGAAGTCTAAAGAAGTGGGAAAGTAACCCTGAGTAGAGGAATTTGGAAAATTCTCCAGATAGGGTGAAGTTTGAATCAAATTCCACTCCCCTACCCCATCACAAACATTAAATTTCTTCAGAGAATCAACTACTTCATATCTAAAGAATGTAAAATGCCAAAATTCACATTACAAAGTTCCTTAATTTGGTGACTGTAAAAGGATGTTCACTGTGTGGGAGCATTGCCAGAAAACAAATGACTATAGAGTAGCTCCCTTGGAAAATTTATGGCTTCTTTGAAGCCACATTTTTAAGGCATTTTATCTTGCCAACTTCTTTTTTCCCATGTTAACAATTTCTATTGTTTAGAAGAACTATTTCGGGTGCAAAATTGCACTTAGTCATGGCTGCATAGTCAGTAAACTCTTGAGGCTTACTTCTTTAATTTACTTTCTATTATTAGCTGGGCCAGTTATAGTGCAGGCATTTTTAGAACCACCTGGAATAGAATATGTCCAATGTGACATTACTCTTTCGAATGAGCAGTAGTTTTGATTAGAACATTTTTTTTCCTCTGAAAATATCCCACAATCTTAGTAGTAGTGTAGCACTAATGATAAAATTCTGCTTTTAAGATCTGTTTACATGAGTTTTTCCTCACTCACAGTGAATAGAAACAACAGAATAAACTTTCTTTTTCCAAATAAAGTTAATGAGAATGAAAATGTGCCTTCAGAGGATTTCTGAATCACAAATAAATGAACAAAATCCCAATCAAGCAATGTTAGTGATTAGCTTTGTGCACTCACTGTCTCTTGGAGGAAAATAGAAGGAAGCTGATTATATTTTGAATGACCTATATTGAGCTACCTAGTTGCCCACAGTGTCATAACCCCACTGCAGGAAAGTTCATGGTGTCAAGAGAATTTAATTGCCTCTTTTGAATGGATTGGCTTGCAGTTTCCAAACAGAAATAAAGTGGGAGGAAAAGGTGAATATAGGAGCTAAAACCTGATTATTAATTTCAAACTGCTAAATTCCTGTTAAGTGTCTTTTCTTCTTTCAACTGATTTTATAATGGTTCACAATTTTCCTGTGTATGACTAGTAATTCTGCTTTGCTCTCCTAATTTAAACAGTATCATTTGACATTTTGGGGTTATCTAATAATGGAGTCAGCCAGGCAATCAGCTTTAGTATTATGGATTTCATGAGTGAAAGGAAAAAAAAATCTTAAAAGACAGGCTGGCTTGGTTTAATTTCATTGGATATTAGCATTTCTCAAAAGCAAAGAAGTATTAGTGATGGAAAGTAGGTTAAAACATTGCTGGCTTGCTAATAAGGAAAATATATATATATTTTTCAAAAATGACAAGTTATTGAATGAAACTTCAACATATGCAAAGTACCAAAATTATTTGCTTTTATGAGTCTCTTGATTTCTGAGTAATAGATTCGTTAGGGGATGAGAGAAGCATAAAAATGATTATAGATCTTACAAAGACTGATTAGTAAAAGAGTAAATAGCAGCAGAGTTAAAAGGGGAGAAAAAGGAGGTGGTATTGTTATTCTCTTTGGGGAAGGAAAAGGAAGGAGAGAAAGTGAGCCTAAGCACAGTTTAAGTGGGTAATAGGGCATGTTCAGAAGTGCTGTGCAGTGGCATTTAATGAAATTCTAAACTCTATATTCTCTCATTAAGTTGATTCATGGAGTCAGTAATAGGGGAATAACTGGCAAGTGCGGCCTCCTGTGAAAATGACCACATGTTCCACATCCATCAGTTAACATCTGATAAAAGGGCCTAGGTAATGCAATCTCTTACAGTTAATTCCTCACTCTTTTTGCTCTTATTTACTCTGAGCATCTTTGTGAGCTTGGCACCTGCTTGCTACCCTCATCACCTGGGTATGTGATACATAAATATAGATGTTCCTCCTAAAAGAGCCAAAAGTTTTTCGTTATTTTATCATCTATTTTCATGGACTCAAAACTGAATGTAAGCTCTAATGATACAGGGAAAGATGAGATACCACCTTTCCTCTGGTGTGATTGAACTGCTGGTAAATTAGTGGTAGAAGAAAACTAATAAACTGAGAAAAAATACACTTATTTTATGTAGTATAATTTTTGCTTAATTAATAACTGAAATAAGAAATTTAATGAAGATAGTATTTCGCTTCTGAAATTAAAAGTTTTTAAAGCCACCTTTTATTAGTTGACTTACCTATTTTCATCTAATAATACCTAAATGGCACCATCCCCAGGAAATTACAAATTTATATGGCCAAGAGCTTTTCAGTGAAGTAACCATGAATCCTAATCTCCTCTTTTTCTTGAACTTAGAAAGAGATTAAATACCCATTCAGTTAACTGATTTATTTCCCTTCTTCAAGGCTGCACAAAGGAGCTATCTGAAGAAGAAAATGTAATAACCCAAGGTCCCTGTCTAAAAGAATTTGGGGATTTATTAGATTGAGCAGAAAGGATTTTTCCTTTCATCCAATGAACTTTTCTTATTTCTTGTGGCTGTTCGTTATTCTTATGTATGGGATAAAGCTATGCATAACCTTAAAATGCAGACAACTATTTTGAGGAATATTATTCTGATATAATTCATAAACAGTGGAATTCCTTGGGAATATTTTTATGAGCTTTTTTGACAATAAGGGATTTGGACGTATATTATCAGGAGGAATATAGCAGCATAAAAATGTAGAGATTTAGATTTGTGTGAAGCTCTTGTTTTGGAATGGTCAAAAACAGTGAGGAAGGGAACAAAGCAAATGGAATCCCCCTAGTGTCAGAGATACATATTCTCATATGCACTCCCACATCAGGATGGTGTGGAGAGGAAGGCTAAAGTCTAGGAGGACAAAAGACAGGACACTAAGGACAAAAGACAGGTAACAGAATAGTTGATAGTTTTACATCAAACAAAATCTTTATTTGTTAACTGTGGCTATGCTGCCCTTAACCTCACAGCTTAAACAAAAACCTTTAAATCTCAGTTTCTGTGGGTCAGGAATTTGGGAATGAAATAGTTCAAAGGCTTTAGCTCAGGGTTTCTTATGAAATTGTAGTCAAGATGTCAGGTGAGGCTGCAGTTACGTAGACTTTACTGGGGCTGCACTAGCCACTTCCATGGTGGCTCACTCACATACCTGGCAAGATAATGCTGGTTGTTTTGAAGAAGTCATAGTTCTTTGCCATATGGGCCTCTCCTTCAGGCTGCTTGAGTGTCTTGCAGACATGGCAGCTGGCTTCCTCCAGAGCAATTGATTTAAGAAACAAGCAAAGCAGATGTCACAATGTCTAAGTCTTATTTTTGAATCTGAGCGCTAATCAAGCTGCTTTTTAAATTTAAGAATTAGGATCTGCTTACTGGTAGGGGCAAAGAACAAATCTGTGCCATAGTGAGCAAATAGGAGAGAAAACTTTCTTCAAATCATTAAGTCTGTGTCTAAATATTAAACACTCACTTCTCCTCTTATGCTACTATATAAACTTACCTCCACATTATCTACTTAAAGGAAAATCAGTGGCATATGTAATCCAAAATCAATTAAAAATACATTATATATTGTATGGGAGGGCGGGGAGTAATTGCTATTTTAATTATGTCTGGCCAAATTGCAATTAGTGTTTGTTCCCTGAGAACACACCTGTTAAGAGAAGGCACAAATGAGTCAGTCAGGATATGGGAAGATAAACTGAATTTTCGAAGTTTCTTTAAAAAAAATCTACAAAGATTTTAATTTCTATATAGTAGTTAAACTTACATCTTCTCTGTTTGTGATTAACTTGTAGGAAGAATTTTAATAGACTATAAATGGTTTTATATCTTTATGCTTTTTCTATAATGTTGATAATTTGATTCAGCATAGGATAATTTTGAGTCACAGTGTTAGAATATTAGAAAATGAAGCTGGTAAACTGTGATTCGAGAAGGGAGATAAACAAAAGGCAAAGTATGAGTAAAGGTTTTGGAAATGACATTTCTAGATGAGACAAAAGAAGATGAGGGAAAGTCAAGATGCCCTTTAGAACTACAATCCTGTGTCTGTTAGGTGGGAGGGAGCTAAGCTGTGCCTAGAGATTGGCTGATCTGTGCTTTGTTTCAATATATGTTTATGGGGAGCAGTTAGGATCTTGGAGTTAAAAACTCAGAAAAGCATTGTGCATTTGAATGGAGGCTCATTTATTAATTTCACTCATTTAACCTTTATTTAGGGGACATCTATTTTTAGATTTTTTAGACTATTTTCAGACTCTCACAACCTTATTAACTGTAACAGAGTAAAACCAATTTACAAAATCATCTTGCTCTTTTTAAAAGTGCAGATAAGAGACGACAAATACAAACTAATTGTACATTACTAACCAGTACTAGATAAGATAGTATAATATAAATGTTTTCTTTATAATGAGTATTGACTTTCTTTTAGTTTTATGAAAATAAAATGTATTTATGAGGCTCCCATACTAACACTTCTGATCCTATTCCTTCAATTCTATTTTTCCTATAGGGTCTTCAGTGTAAGTTATTCTACACAAGGTTTTCAGGAGCACTGGCATATGGGCACTTTTGAGCAAGTGATTCCTCTATAAAGATTTCTTTTTCTGCTACTTTGTCAAATTTATCTCTGAATATAAACAAATCCCATTCTGAAATCTCGGGTTAAGATACTGAGTACACTCTATGTGAGCCCAGGCTAAGTACCTCTTTTTTGTTTGTTGGCAATGCATTTGTGGAGATTTCAGGATATTTTGAAAAGTCAATTTGTGTCTCTGCACGTGAGCTGGGTTTCCTGAATGCAGCACACTGATGGGTCTTGACTCCTTATCCAATTTGCCAGTCTGTGTCTTTTAATTGGAGAATTTAGCCCATTTACATGTAAGGTTAATATTGTTATGTGTGAATTTGATCTTTGATCTTGTCATTATGATGTTAGCTGTTTATTTTGCTCATTAGTTGATGCAGTTTCTTCCTAGCCTTGAGGGTCTTTACACTTTGGCATGTTTTTGCAGTGGCTGGTACCAGTTGTTCCTATCCATGTTTAGTGCCTCCTTCAGGAGTTCTTTTAGGGCAGGCCTGGTGGTGACAAAATCTCTCAGCATTTGCTTGTCTGTAAAGTATTTTATTTCTCCTTCACTTGTGAAGCTTAGTTTGGCTGGATATGAAATTCTGGGTTGAAAATTCTTTTCTTTATGAATGTTGAATATTGGCCCCCACTCTCTTCTAAGATCTACCAAGCAAATGGAAAACAAAAAAAGCAGGGCTTGCAATCCTAGTCTCTGATAAAACAGACTTTAAACCAACAAAGATCAAAAGAGACAAAGAAGGCCATTACATAATGGTAAAGGGATCAATTCAACTAAAAGAGCTAACTATCCTAAATACATATACACCCAATACAGGAGCACCCAGATTCATAAAGCAAGTCCTTAGAGACCTACAAAGAGACTTAGACTCCCACACAATAATAATCTGAGACTTTAACACCCCACTGTCAACATTAGACAGATCAATGAGACAGTTAACAAGGATATCCAGGAATTGAATTCAGCTCTGCACCAAGCCGACCTAATAGACACCTACAGAACTCTCCACCCCAAATCAACAGAATACACATTCTTCTCACCACCACACCGCACCTATTCCAAAATTGACCACATAGTTGGAAGTAAAGCACTCCTCAGCAAATGTGAAAGAACAGAAATTATAACAAACTGTCTCTCAGACCACAGTGCAATCAAACTAGAACTCAGGATTAAGAAACTCACTCAAAACTGCTCAACTACATGGAAACTGAACAACCTGCTCCTGAATGACTACTGGATACACAATGAAATGAAGGCAGAAATAAAGATGTTCTTTGAAACCAAAGAGAACAAAGGCACAACATACCAGAATCTCTGGGACACATTTAAAGCAGTAGGTAGAGGGAAATTTATAGCACTAAATGCCCACAAGAGAAAGCAGGACAGACCTAAAATTGATACCCTAACATCACAATTAAAAGAACTAGAGAAGCAAGAGCAAACACATTTAAAAGCTAGCAGAAGGCAAGAAATAACTAAGATCAGAGCAGAACTGAAGGAAATAGAGACACAAAATCCCTTCAAAAAAAATCCATGAATCCAGGAGCTGGTTTTTTGAAAAGATCAACAAAATTAATAGACCGCTAGCAAGATTAATAAAGAAGAAAAGAGAGAAGAATCAAATAGAACCAATAAAAATGATAAAGGGGATGTCACCACTGATCCCACAGAAATACAAACTACCATCAGAGAATACTATAAACACCTCTACACAAATAAACTAGAAAATCTAGAAGAAATGGATAAATTCCTGACACATACACCCTCCCAAGACTAAACCGGGAAGAAGTTGAATTTCTGAATAGAGCAATAACAGGCTCTGAAATTGAGGCAATAATTAATAGCGTACCAACCAAAAAAATCCAGGACCAGATGGATTCACAGCCGAATTCTACCAGAGGTACAAGGAGAACCTGGTACCATTCCTTCTGAAACTATTCCAATCAATAGAAAAAGAGGGAGTCCTCCCTAACTCATTTTATGAGGCCAGCATCATCCTCATACCAAAGCCTGGCAGAGACACAACAAGAAAGAGAATTTGAGACCAATATCCCTGATGAACATAGATGCAAAAATTCTCAATAAAATACTGGCAAACCGAATCCAGCAACACATCAAAAAGCTTATCTGCCATGACCAAGTGGGCTTCATCCCTGGGATGCAAGGCTGGTTCAACATACACAAATCAATAAACGTAATCCAGCATATAAACAGAACCAAAGACAAAAACCACATGTTTATCTCAATAGATGCAGAAAAGGCCTTTGGCAAAATTCAACAGCCCTTCGTTCTAAAAACTCCCAATAAATTAGGTATTGATGGGACATATCTCAAAATAATAAGAGCTATTTATGACAAACCCACAGCCAATATCATACTGAATGGACAAAAACTGGAAGCATTCCCTTTGAAAACTGGCACAAGACAGGGATGCCCTCTCTCCCCACTCCTATTCAACATAGTGTTGGAAGTTCTGGCTAGGGCAATCAGGCAGGAGAAGGAAATAAAGGGTATTCAATTAGGAAAAGAGGAAGTCAAATTGTCCCTGTTTGCAGATGACATGATTGGATATCTACAAAACCCCATCGTCTCAGCCCAAAATCTCCTTAAGCTGATAGGCAACTTCAGCAAAGTCTCAGTATACAAAATCAATGTGCAAAAATCACAAGCATTCTTATACACCAGTAACAGACAGAGAGCCAAATCATGAGTGAACTCCCATTCACAATTGCTTCAAAGAGAATAAAATACCTAGGAATCTAACTTACAAAGGATGTGAAGGACCTCTTCAAGGAGAACTACAAACCACTACTCAACGAAAGAAAAGAGGACACAAACAAATGGAAGAACATTCCATGCTCATGGGTAGGAAGAATCAATATTGTGAAAATGGCCATACTGCCCAAGGTAATTTATAGATTCAATGCCATCCCCAACAAGCTACCAATGACTTTCTTCACAGAATTGGAAAAAACTGCTTTGAAGTTCATATGGAACCAAAAAAGAGCCCACACTGCCAAGTCAATCCTAAGCCAAAAGAACAAAGCTGGAGGCATCATGCTACCTGACTTCAAACTATACAAGTCTACAGTAACCAAAATAGCATGATACTGGTACCAAAACAGATACATACACCAATGGAACAGAACAGAGCCCTCAGAAATAATACCACATATCTACAACTATCTGATCTTTGACAAACCTGACAAAAACAAGAAACGGGGAAAGGATTCCCTATTTAACAAATGGTGTTGGGAAAACTGGCTAGCCATATGTAGAAAGCTGAAACTGGATCCCTTCCTTACACCTTATACAAAAGTTAATTCAAAATGGACTAAAGACTTAAATGTTAGACCTGAAAACATAAAAACCCTAGAAGAAAACCTAGGCATTACCATTCAGGACATAGGCATGGGCAAGGACTTCATGTCTAAAACACGAAAAGCAACGGCAACAAAAGCCAAAAATTGACAAATTGGATCTAATGAAACTAAAGAGCTTCTGCACAGCAAAAGAAACTACCATCAGAGTGAACAGGCAACCTACAGAATGGGAGAAAATTTTTGCAACCTACTCATCTGACAAGGGGCTAATATCCAGAATCTACAAAGAACTCAAACAAATTTACAAGAAAAAAAAGAAACAACCCCATCAAAAAGTGGGCAAAGGATATTAACAGACACTTCTCAAAAGAAGACATTTATGCAGCCAAAAGACACATGAAAAAATGCTCATCATCACTGGCCATCAGAGAAATGCAAATCAAAACCACAATGAGATATCATCTCACACCAGTTAGAATGGTGATCATTAAAAAGTCAGGAAACAACAGGTGCTGGAGAGGATGTGGAGAAATAGGAACACTTTTACACTGTTGGTGGGACTGTAAACTAGTTCAACCATTGGGGAAGACAGTGTGCCGATTCCTCAGGGATCTAGAACTAGAAATACCATTTGACGAAGCCATCCCATTACTGGGTATATACCCAAAGGACTATAAATCATGCTGCTATAAAGTCACATGCACATGTATGTTTACTGTGGCACTACTCACAATAGCAAAGACTTGGAACCAACCCAAATGTCCAACAATGATAGACTGGATTAAGAAAATGTGGCACATATACACCATGGAATACTATGCATCCATAAAAAAATCCATGAGTTCATGTCCCTTGTAGGGACATGGATGAAGCTGGAAACCATCATTCTCAGCAAACTATCGCAAGGACAAAAAAACAAACATCACTCATAGGTGGAAATTGAACAATGAGAACACTTGGACACAGGAAAGGAACATCACACACCGGGGCCTGTTGTGAGGTGGGGGGAGGGGGGAGGGATAGCCTTAGGAGATATACCTAATGTAAATGACGAGTTAATGGGTGCAACGCACCAACATGGCACATGTATACATATGTAACAAACCTGCATGTTGTGCACATGTACCCTAGAACTTAAAGTATAATAAAAAATACATATATATTTTAAAAAAAGAAAAAAAGAAAAGTCAGAAAGCACATGTGTTTACAATGATGAGGGTGTGGAGGTTAGTGCTGATACCCCTATTGAAAGTCAACTCTTTTCTTTCTTTTTCTTTATTTAATTATCTCAAAAATTAAAAAAATGAGAACGTTATAGTTTGAAAACTGTCATCCTCCTTTTCATTCCATCTCAAATACTCACTTGTGGTGGAGCAATGTATGAGTCTCCATGAGACCATGCCTCATCTGCTTTTCTGTCTCTCTCTCTCTCTCTCTCTCTCTCTCTCTCTCTCTCTCTCTCTCTCTCTCTCTCTCCCTCTCTCCCTCTCCCTCTCTCTCTCTCTCTCTCTCACTTCCCCTTCCTCTCCCTCCCTCCCTCTGTGACTTATTATAGTATGGCAAAGGTAAATTGTCAATTTAACGGATTTCATTATTATATTTGCTACTTCTTCTTGGGCAAGTGTAATCAAAAAAGTACCTTGGTCATTGAATTTTTTAAAGCCATTTAAATGTAGAAAACATTTTAATGATTTAAAGTGCATTAAGCTATTTTTTTAAATGTTTGTGCCCTTAGGTCAAATGCTTAAAAGCCAATCGTTATGCATTTAGTCAATATATAATTTGTTTTACACTCTATAGGAAAGAGAGAATTAGACTTATCTGGGGAAAGAGAATTGGACCATTTTATGAAAATCTTAGGAAGGATAATATATACATTTTATACAATTTGTAAGTATATTTTAAATCATATAGAAAATTGGGCAAGAGAGTAAATACAAATAGTGAATCATATATTAGAAACCAGTTTAATAAATTTACAAATTAATTTCTAATTTCCCAAAGATAAATGACTGATGAGGTTTGGCTCTGTGTCCCCACCCAAATCTCATCTTGTAGCTCCCATAATTCCCACGTTGTGGGAGAGACCTGGTGGGAGATAATTGAGTCAAGGTGGTAGGTCTTTCCCATGATGTTCTTGTGAGATAATGAATAAGTCTCACAAGATCTGATGCTTTTAAAAATGGGAGTTTCCCTGCACAAGCTCTCTGCCTTTACCTGATGCAGTCCACATAAGATGTGACTTGATCCTCCTTGCCTTCTATCATGATTGTGAGGCCTCCACAGCCATGTAGAACTGTAAGTCCATTAAACCTCTTTCTTTTGTAAATTGTCCAGTCTCAGGTATGTCTTTATCAGCTGTGTGAAAGCGGACTAATACAGTACATTGGTACCAATAGAGTGGGACACTGCTGAAAAGATACCCGAAAATGTGGAAATGACTTTGGAACTGGGTGAGAGGCAGAGAACAGTTTGGAGGGCTCAGAAGAAGACAGGAAAATGTGGGAAAGTTTGGAGCTGCCTAGAGACTTGTTGAATGACTTTGACCAAAATGCTGATAATGATATGGACAGTGAAATCCAGGCTGAGAATGGAGATGAGGAACTTGTTGGGAACTGGAGTAAAGGTGACTCTTGTTATGTTTTAGCAAAAAGACTGGTGGTGTTTTCCCCCTGCTGTAGGGATGTGTAAAATTTTGAAATTGAGAGAGATGGTTTAGGATATCTCGTGGAAGAAATTTCTAAGCAGCAAAGCATTCACTGGGTGCTGTTGAAAGCATTCAGTTTTATAAGGGTAGCAGAGCATAAAAGTTTGGAAAATTTGCAGCCTGACAATGTCATAGAAAAGAAAATCCTGTTTTCTGAGGAGAAGTTCAAGTGGGCTGCAGAAATTTTCATACATAACAAGTAGCTGAACGTAAATCTCCAAGACAATGGGGAAAATGTCTCCTGGGCATGCCAGTGGTCTTTGCGGCAACCCCTCCCATCACAGGTCTGGAGGCCTAGGAGGAAAACTGGTTTCATGGGCTGGGCCCAACATCTCTGTTCTTTGTGCAGCATAGAAAACTTGGTTCCCTGTGTCCCAGATGCTCCAGCCAAGGCTGAAAGGGGCCAACGTAGAGCTCAGGCTGTGGCTTCAGAGGGTGCACACCCCAAGCCTTGGCAGCTTCCACATGGTGTTGAGCCTGTGAGTGCACAGAAGTCAAGCACTGGGGTTTGGTAACCTCTGCCTAGATTTCAGACGATCAATGGAAGCACCTGGATGCCCAGGCAGAAGTTTGCTGCAGGGGCGGGGCTCTCATGGAGAACCTATGCTAGGGCAGTTCAGAAGGAAAATATGGGGTCAGAGCCCCCACACAGAGTCCCTACTGGGGTACCACCTAATGGAGCTGTGAGAAGAGAGCCACCATCCTCCAGACCCCAAAATGGTAGATCTACTGACAGCTTGTGCTCTGTGCCTGCAAAAGCCACAGACACTCAATGCCACACGTGAAGGCAGCCAGGAGGGAGGCTGCACCCTGCAAAGCCACAGAGGTGGAGCTGCCCAAGGCCATGGGAGCCCACCTATGGCATCAGCATGAACTGGATGTGATACATGGAGGCAAAGGAGATTGTTTTGGAGCTTCAAGATTTGACTGCCGCGCTGGATTTCAGACTTGCATGGGGCCTTTAGCCCCTTTGTTTTGGACAATTTCTCCAATTTGGAATGGCTGTATTTACCCGGTGCCTGTACCCCCGTTGTATCCAGGAAGTAGCTAACTTGCTTTTGATTTTACAGGCTCAAATGGGGAAGGACTTGCCTTGTTTCAGATGAGATGTTGGACTGTGGACTCTCAAGTAAATGCTGAAATGAGTTAAGACTTTGGAGGACTGTTAAGAATGCATGATTGGTTTTGAAATGTGAGGGCATGAGATTTGGGAGGGACCAGGGGTGGGATGATATGGTTTGGTACTGTGTCTCCACCCAAATCTCATATTGTAGCTCCCATAATTCCCACATGTTGTGGGAGGGACCCAGTGGGGGATAACTGAATCATAGGGGTGATTCTTTCCTGTGCTGTTCTCATGATAGTGAATAAGTCTCATGAGATCTGATGTTTTTAACAATGGGAGTTTCCCTGCACAAACTCTCTCTCTTTGCCTGCCACCATCCACGTAAGATGTGACTTGCCCTCCTTGCCTTCCACCATGATTGTGAGGTTTCTCCAGCCATGTAGAACTGTAAATCCATTAAACCTCTTTCTTTTGTAAATTACTCAGTCTTGGGTATGTCTATCAGCAGCATGAAAACGAACTAACAAAATGACCTATTGATTTGAAGAAAAAATAGAAAGGACAGCTACAGAAACAGTCATCCTTTCTCTTCCATTGGATGAATTGTATCTAATGGTAAATGGATATGGTCTGTGTTGAACATAATTATCATATATTTCTCTCTCAAAATTTCTCGGCATGAACAAAAATTTTATAAACTGACAGATATGAGGCAAAATTTACACTGCTTAAAACTGGCGATAATGTCTTGGATAAGGTATACTTTGAATAAAAAATATGGCAAAATATTATAGATCAAATATGTGGAGAGTTGAACTCACATACATGGTCATTCTTTTTGTGTCATGAATATAAGAAAGTGAAGTAGACTAGAAATCATGTCTTCCCTCTGGTGGTCGTATTTTGCTTTAAATTACTGGATTCTTTTCATTGGGTAATTTGCAATATAAATCTGTCTGTTTAGAAAATTTTTCATATGCCTGTTTTAATTCTTGGCTGTGACTTTAACAAGTGTGGAAAATTTCAAGTTTAGTATTCTTCTTCCCCATTTTATTTATTCACTCACATTTTTCCATTTAAAAATAGGAAAAAAAACTTATAAATAAGTCCAAATAGGTAAACAAACAAAATTTGGTTGAGGTGGCATTTTTGTCAGATGGCCAATTACTATAATACTTATTCTACTCTGGCTACCAGAATATTCTTTTCAGATATCAGTTGTGCCCACTCTGTACAAAGTCTAATCTTTCGTTGCCTGTAAGGCCCATTACACTGTGTTCCAGCCACACTGGCTTTCTTTCTGTCCTGAAATGTAGCAGGCATATTCCCACCTCTGGGTCTTTGCACTTGTTATTTCCACTGGTAACTCTCTTTCACCCCAAAATCATCTTGGTTTCATTCCTACACATTCATCAAGTCTCATTACCAATGCCACCGTTTCTTTGAAGACTTTCTTGACTTCCCTACTTAAAATTTTGTTCCTACCCCAGCACTCTTTATTCTCTTCCTTAATTTTTCTCCACGTCACTGCTTCCCGTTTACCATAATGTATATTTTACATATTCATTTATGTAAAATATTTTGTCACTATATTGTAAGCTCTGTGAGGGAAAATATTTTTTATCTTTTTTACTAATTACCTCATTCCTAGGCTCTAGAATGGGGCTCATGACATAGTAGGACCCCAGACACATTTGTTGAATGTTGTTGAATCAATAAACATAAAACATAAAGATATCTGAAGTATTTGTTCAACTTGGAACTTTCTAAAGACAACAAGCATAATAATTTTTGTTTGGCTAAACCACATTATGTGGTCAGGAAAATTTGTAATTATGGATTGTTCAACCCTTGTAGGTAAGCATTGTATTTTCTTTTCCTAAAACTCTTCAATGTTCAGATTTAAGTAGAAAAGTCTTAATGGATTTTATCTCTGTAGTTCCAGTTATGACTGTTATCATTAAACATAACTTAAAACATCATCACACAAAACTATCTGTAGCTTCTTAATGCCTGGAAACATCTTTCTTACCCATTGCATTCCTTTTGATGTGTCATTTGACACTTTCTTCAGATCTAAAACTTTTGTGTATAACTTTCTATTCATTCTTTACTCCTTAAGAGTAAAGAAGCCTTGGCATATCTAAAATTGTTGAGGAGAATAAGTTTGCCTCTTGTGCAAGAGGTGTCTGTGGATTGTTGTTTTCTAAACTTTAAGAAGAATTTCCATTTTAAGATTACAATTTATGACAATGCAAGTACAATTTTTTGAATAAATTGACTTAGAAGTAGAACTTACATCCAAAGAAGCTTCAAATATTGGAAAATATTGGAAGTAATAACAAAATTACTATTATATTAGCTTAATTTTAAAGCACAAGAGCTAAAAATTACAATGTGTTCCATAAGGATCAAATAAAATAAATATGGCTAGCATATAGTATAAATGAGAACAGACATGAATCTATGATTCTCATAAGATTTCATAAAATGTTTTCTTAATAGCAGGCTTGTATCTAAACCTGGGTAACTCATTTAGAATTTTTATGCCAACACTAAAAATAAATAAGTCATATCTGTCTTGTATAGCGGAAAATTATTTATGGTTTGTGTTTAAGTCTTAAGCATTTGGAGTCCATGAGTCCATGATTTACTTAGGATTATCCATTTGTAATTTCTTCCTCTTTGCAGAATTAGTGAGCACTTTGATCTCTGATAAACAAGATATTTTGTACCTAATTTTCAATGTTCTCATATAGGTTCTTCAGTGGAAATTCCTGCTAATGAGAGATTGAGCTGAGTTCTTTCTTACCTTGTTAAAAAAGTATAGTATAATTAGACTTTAACCAATAATCAAAGTAGGTTCATATTCATACCACCATTTTATTCTTCCCTTTTCCTGATGGGTCACTGTGCTTAGAATCAAATGACACAAATATATTTTGCTTTAGCCAACCTTCTATCTTTTACAAAGCAATCTCACACATTTATAAAACAAAGTCAAAGTTCATCTGCAAAGAAGATGGGATAGCTTCTAATTTGGGCTACTTGCTCTACATCTGTCTATAAATATCTCTATCTGTTGCAAAAGATTCGACTAGTCCCAAAGTCATTTAATCAACTTAGTTTATTCTATTAGTGTTGCAATATAATAGAAATAAAATGGTCTTTGTTGATCAGTAATCTTAGATAAGAATTCAGACTTTGCTTCTTTCTGGTTTTATAGCCTTGACCAAATTACCTAAACTCTCCAAGCTGCAGTTTCATCATGTATAAAATGGGAATTATAATATTTAACAGCTGTGTTAGGAGGAAAAAATGAGATAAAATATGTGAGAAGCCTCTGTAATAATGCCAGGTACTTAATGGATATTAAACAGATGATAGTTTGTTTCCCCTTTGCTATATAATAGACCTCATCCTCCAACACACACACACACACACACACACACACACACACACACAATATTTGAGTTAACTTCCATTTAATTAATTTGCTGGTTAAATAAGTTAAAATGTTCAAATGGGTTCTGTGTGGGAACAAGCTTTATAATTTCCCCTTGTGTGAACATTGATTAATTGTACTAATACCAAAGACATTTAATATTGTTTAATGTGGAAGTTGTTCAATGATAGCAGATGCAATTAATATTATAGATTGCATTGTTAACTTACACCCTCCAGGAATCTTTACATTTAAAATAACATTCATTAATTCAATTTAGAAACTTTCTTTCTGAAAAGGGGGATAGAACTTAGAATGGTTTAGGTTTTCCTACAATAACAAATAATCCCAAATTCTCAGTGGTTTAAAAAAACAAATTTTATTTCTTGCTTACACTGTATGTGGTATGTAGTGGGTTGAATAGTATTTGTGTTAATTTGGAACTTTAGAATGTTACTTATTTGAAAATATGTTATTTTCAGACATAATTAAAGTAAGGATTGATAGGAGATCATACAGGATTAGGATGGGCCTTAAATCCAATGACAGTATCCTTACAAGAGATAGAGAAGTATGCAAAAAGACATACATAGACAATGTGAAGACAAAGGCTAGACTGGAGTAATGCATCTTTATACCCAATAATGACAGGAGCTACCAGAAGCTGGAAGAGGCAAGGAAAGATTCTCCTGTAGAGCCTTCAGAGGGAGAATAGTTTGTTGGAACCTTTATTTTGGACTCCAGAACAGTGAGATAATAAATATCTGTTTTTCTAAACCAAATATTTGTGGTTGTTTATTATGGTTGCCCTAAAAAATGAATACAGCCTATACCATCTTTAATCTAAAATACAAGCTGAAACTTCACTATCTGGAACATCACTGCGCACATACCAGTAGATAAAAGAATTTGGACAACATTTTTAAAAGCACACACTCTTGAAGGATTCTGCTTATAAGGAATATATATGACTTGTGTTTCCTTTCAAATATCCAAATCTATTCATATATCTATCCCTAATTAAACAGAATGTTGAAGTAAAATAGCAGTATATTCAGGAAGAGATACCAGTATGTTGATGAGTATCCCTCATGAATACCACACAGAATTTTACAAAAATTCTGGGCAAGTTTGTATCTTATATTTTGAAAACCTTTATTGTAAATTCCAATAAATCAAAGAGTTCTCATAGTGCTTTGAAAATTAGCAAATATAAGCCACAATTAAAAGATGTGGGCAATGCCTTCCCATAATAACTCCTATTTGTGTCTTGTTAGTTTTCAGGGGAACTAAAGGTTGTTTTTCAATAATAAATTTTTAAATTTAAGATATTAAGATAATAAAAACTTATATAGTACAATAAAATGGTGTGTCAGACTCAGTCAACCACTACCCAATGATGATCATTGACAACATTTTTGTTTGTAATGTTTTAGCCCTTATTGTTGGTAATCATGATGATGGGATGGAGCGATACTTAAAAAGTCTTTGTGAATATTCCATTTCTTGAATTTGCCTCACTCAAGATCTTACTTAAAATATGGCATTATTGGCTGGGTGCGGTGGCTCATGCCTGTAATCCCAGCACTTTGGGAGGCTGAGGCGGGCGGATTACCTGAGGTCAGGAGTTGGAGACCAGCCAGGCCAACATGATGAAACCCTTACTCTATTAAAAATACAAAAACTAGCCGGATGTGGTGGCATGAGCCTGTAATCCCAGCTACTTGGGAGGCTGAGCTAGGAGAATCGGCTTGAATCCGGGAGGCAGAGCTTGCAGTGAGCTGAGATCGCACCACTGCACTCCAGCCTGGGCGAGACCCTGTCTAAAAAAAAAAAAAGAAAAAGAAAAAAAAAAAGATATGGCATTATCAATATATGCTTTGTGGCTGAGAGGGTGTCCTTAGATTCTGAGATTCAATAATCTATGCTTCTACTTATATGGTGTTCATCTAAGTTGCTACGACAGCCTAAGAAAGCTGCAGGAAATGGCAGGGCATTTGTTTTAGTTAAAAAAACATAAAGTTAATTAATATTTACCGTAATAAAAATTCTCTATGTCTGGATTAGTTTTACACATTTATAATTTTTTATTCAATAAAATTCATTTTTCTTATATATTTTCTTATTCAAAAAATTTGATCCTTAATTTATTAGTTTTATTAATTTTCTTTTTACCTAATTATGCCTCATGGTATGAAGAGAAGCAGTAGAGAAAGATATTTAGATCACAATCCCTATCCATCTTTTTTCTGTTTTTTTGCTCCATCTCCATTTAAATGACTCATGGATGGACCTTTATTTCTTGTGGAAAATTGTTTTGAATATGAAAGTTAAAATCCTATTACTTTCTCCATCAACCCACAGTATTACACTAATTTTAAGTTAACTCTTTCATTGGGTCAGCAATAGAATGATAACTAATAGTGGCTTCTGAGAGTATTTACTAGACTAGTGATGTTAATGGGCCAGGTAGTGGTAGGAGATGGGCATAACGAAGGGGCAGAAGGTAATGTCTTTGAGTGAGGGCTAAAATGTCTGACATATTCTACATCTGGTATTCGTATTGTAACCTGTAGTTAAAAGCAAAACAAAACATAACAGAAATCAAAACAAACAAAAAAAAGTTTCATACTGCCTGAGTTACATATGATAAGTAAAAATTACTGGTATTACTCAGCCCAGGGACAATTATTTTTTCATAGGATTATAGTTGCTTTCAGAAATATAGTCTTCATAATTTTTGCTCTTATATAGTTTGAGTTCCATATCTCTACCCATCCCTCATCCCCCACATAAAAGGAGGAAGAGGAAAGAAAATAAATAGCCTTCATTTTCTAGCCTTAGGCATTCTCATAGGGATAATATAAAGAATTTGGCCGTTCAAATATCAATATACTTCTGAAGTCTTACTTCTGGAAATACAGAAAAACTTCACTGGTGAATTTTGTGCAATGAGATATAAAGTAATTCCTAGCTTTTACCAGTGTGATACAGAGAAATAAAGGTTTTCTGTTTTTGCTCTATTGATTGTTTCCTTTCCTGTGCAGAGTCTTTTTAGTTTAATGTAATTTATTTGTCTGTTTTCACTTTTATTGCCTGTGCTTTTAAGGTTATATCCAAAAAATCCTTTTCTATTTCAATGTCATGGAGATTTTTTCTGTTTTTTCTAGTAGTGTCATGGTTTTGGGTCTTCCATTTAAGTCTTTAATCTATTTTCAGTTAATTTTTGTATATGGTGAGAGACAAGGGTCTACCTTCCTTTATTCTTCTGCATGCGGATATTAAGTTTTCTGACACAGTTTGTTGAAGAGGCTGTCATTTCCCCATTGTGTGTTCTTGGTACCTTTGTCAAAAATTCACTGGACCTTTATTTTTGGGCTTTCTCTTCTGTTGTATTGTTTGTGTCTGCTTTTATGCCAGTAGCATGATATTTTGTTTACTATAGCTTTACAGTATGTTTTGTAGTCAGGTGGCATGGTGCCATCAGCTTTGTTATTTATGCTGAAGATTGCTTTGGCTATTCAGGGTCTTTAGTGTTTCGAAACACAGTTAGGATGACTTTTTCTATTTCTGTGAAGAATGTAATTGATATTCTAATAGGGATTGCATTGAATTTATAGATTGCTTTGGGTAATATGAACATTTTAACTATATTAATTCTTTCAATCCATGAACATTGGATTCAACTGTCTTCAATTTTTTTCTATATACACATATACATATACATATACATATACATATACAATAAATGTTTTATAGTTTTTACTGTAGTCATCTTTCACTTCTTTGGTTAAATTTACTCCAAGGTAATCAATTGTTTTTGTAGCTATTGTAAAAGGAATTGCTTTCTTGATTTCTTTTTCAGTTAATTTTATTGGTGTATAAAAATGCTAATAATCTGTGTATTTTAATTTTGTATTATACAAATTTACTAAACTTGTTTATTCTAAATTTTTTTCATGCAGTCTTTGGGGTTTTCTATATATAAGATCTTCTTATCTGCAAACAGGGACAATTTGATTTTCTCCTTTCCAATTCAAATGCCTTTTATTTCTTTCTATTGCTTGATTGCTCTGGCTAGGATTTCCAGCACTAAGCTGAATGAAAGTGGTAAAAATGGACATTTTTGTCTTCTTCCAGCTCTTAGAGAGAAAGCTTTCAGCTTTTCTTTGTTCTGTATGATGTTAGCTGTGGGTTTGTTGTATATGGCCTACAGAATGGGAGGATATATTTACAAACTATACATCTGATAAAGAACTAACATCCATTATATATAATAAATTTCAACCACTTAATAAGAAAAAACCCAAATAACCCTATTAAAAATGAGCAAATATCTGAATAGACAGTTCTCAAAAGAAGACATACAAATGGCCAACGGGTATAGTAAAAACTGCTCAGCATCACTAATCATTAGTGAAGTGAAAATTAAAACTACAATGAGATATCACCTCACCTCAGTGATGTGGAAAAAATGAACCTCTTATACACTACTGGAAGGAATTTAAGTTAGGACAGCCATTATAGAAACCACATAGAGGTTTCTCAAAAAAATTAAAAGAAGAACTACCATATGATCTGACTATTGCACTACTGGATATTTATCCAAAGTAAATGAAATCATTGTGTTGAGGAGATATCTGCATTCCCATGTTTAGTGCAGTACTAGTCACAATAGCCAAGGTATAGAATCAAACTATGTGTCCATCAATGGATGAGTGGATAAAAATGTACTATTTAGCTATAAAAAAAATGAAATCCTGTTATTTGCAGCAATGTGGATGGACTTGGAGGACATTATGTTAAGTCGAATAAGCTAGACACATAAAGACACATACCACATGATTTGACTCATATGGGAATCTAAAAGTTGTTCTCATAGAAAAGGAGAGTAGAACAGTGGTTACCAGAGGTTGGAGAGAGTAGGGAGGAGAGAACTCACATTTTTTCACTCAGTACATCTTTGCATGTTTTGATTATTACAAAGAAGAATAATATAGGAGGAATTATGAGACTGCTACCTGATATGAAGTCTTACTAGATAGCTATAGTAATCAAGACAGTGTCATATTGTCAGAGGGATAGACACACACATCAATAAATAGAATAGATAACCCAGAAATATACTCAACTGATTTTTGACAAAGATGCAAAAGAAAATTAATGAAGGAGGCTTAAAATTATTCCTTGAAGGAAACCACTGGTTGAAAATATTCTAGTGTAACCACAAGTGAAGAATGAGGAGTAGCTAAGTTGCTACATTTTCTATATCTATTATTCTAGATGTATGAGGTATAATGTATCAACTATTATGGACTTTTTATGTATCTAATTACAAACTAAAGCCAATGATATCCAATCAAAAGTGACAAGAATTAGGACCCAAATTTGAAATGTAGAAGTGTAATTGAATTATGAATTTATATCTACTACAATTACCAGTGGAAATTACTTCAAGCATCATGACATATCGCCTAATGATAGTTTGGCTCCATTGTTATTCATAAGACATTTTAAAACAAGACATTTAAAAATTAAGCATCCAGCCCAGAAGAAGCTGAAAGTTTATTATATATTTTGAGGCCTGAGGTATCTCAAGGAAAGAACAAATGCAGAATTCCTCTTTGAACATGGGTAAGTAAAATTAACATTTTCTCATTATCCTTTTAGAAATCTCCTAAAAGCATTCTGTGCTGTGTGAGAATCTCACAAAGCATTCAGTGCATTCTGTAAAAAACAGAAATGCAAACTTCCTCTTCAGTGAAAATAGGAAACATCTGAAGTCTCATCCTCCAAATAAGTAGAAAGTATCAAAATCAAGAAGATAGAGCAGAAGCACATGAAAAAGCAGAGTGAAGATATCATTGTGTGTACATTTCAGAAGAGACCAGTGTGCATATTTTCTCAATGTGAGAGCCACACCCTAAGTTTCAAAACCAAAATCACTTGTTTGTAAAAACCAGACCAAGTATGTGAGTTGGTGGTTATAGCTTATCTGGACATGATTTCAATCTGAAAAATACATGGAATGAATTCACCCAGACACATCATAATTGTAGGAAGCAGTTTGTCTGTATGACAGAATATATCAGTGGAGTGCAATTTTAAGCAGAAATCTATTTAATTCAGGGAATTAAAATGATTGCTTCCAGCTTTTCTGATGATTGCCTACAAAATCATCAGAAAAGCTGGAAGCAAGCTCTAGACTGTGCCTTCAGGAATTAGCTTCAGAATATCACAGAACTGACCTGGCAGGGATGCTATCTGTATCTCAATCAGAAAGGTGGAGAATCAAGGGTCTGACAGTTCAATACTAAACTGAAAAACTGTAATTATGATCTAGATACCAGTATGCTAGGAGCAATTAAGCATTACTGCAACTTCCTGAACACTGGCACATAGAATCTGGTGATCACTTCTACTTGGTCCTTTCTTACATCCACAAAACTGGTGACCAGATATTAGAACAATGAGTCAATCTGCCACTGCTACTGCAACAACCTTTTGATGCTTACAAAATTGGAGACTGGGCAGCGGCACCTCTTTGATTTTGTCTGTCGTCAGCAAAGAACAAGTATAGATATACAAAAAACCACTTGAAAAAAAAAACAGAAAAAACCCTCTCTCAATCTCAATTCTAAGTCTTGCCTGGCAGCATCTGATTAGCAGAAATATTTACATTAAATGTTTATAGCTAAATATATTAAGTAATATAATTATGAAGAGGATGAAGATATTTCTGGTCATAGTAACTTTACAACCAAATAGAAAGTAGAAATACACATTTTACTAAGATGGAGTTCCAAGGAAGAATAAAAGAATCATATCTGGTGGGCGATCTGCATTTTGAGGTTGCTTTTGAAATTTAGTAACTATAATGAGACTGTATGTAGTGTTCAAGGAACAGGAAGTTTATTTTACATTTGTCCCTCACTAGTTGTAAAACCTTAGGTAAATTACTGAATTTTTCTATGCCTTATTTTCTTCATAATTGATGTGCAAATAATCATAATAACACTTTAATGGATTACTAGAGGGTTCAGTATAAAGATGATAAATACATTGCTTTAGTATCATCTCCATCCACCCCACCCTGCTAATTTTAACTAGGACATAGCCTCCATGTAGAAGGTGGATGAATATAACACATAGATTAGGCTCTCCTTATATACACAAAAAAACAACAAAACCTTCTTCTTGTGAATTCATATCTGCATCTATAAGTTCGAAGTGGTTGAATCAGTATCAACTCAAAAACCTAATGTAGTAGTAATATATATATATTAGAATTGATTACTCCATGGTCCTATTTCCCCCGTATTAACCAAATGTTTGAGCTTCGTTAACTTCTTGCATGGTCGTAATAATAGTAACATCAAAATAATAACTTGTGTTAAATATATACTAGGTATCAGGCATTGTTTGTCTTGTATGTGCTTTACATGTATAGAGTCATTAAGTATTTGCAGTAACCCTGAGAGAGAGATATACTATTATTATCTGAGGCAGCAGCAGATTAGTGACATTAAGTAAGAGTTGTGTCCATAGTCACACAGTTACAAAGGGCTGAGCTAAATTGAATGACTCTAAGCGTGTTTGCCTGAAAAGCATATGTTGAATAGATGTTGTTATTTTGGAATTATCTTTCTTTTTTTTTTTAATTATACTTTAAGTTTTAGGGTACATATGCACAACGTGCAGGTTTGTTACATATGTATACATGTGCCTTGTTGGTGTGCTGCACCCATTAACTTGTCATTTAACATTAGGTATATCTCCTAATGCTATCCCTTCCCCCTCCCCCCACCCCACAACAGTCCCCGGTGTGTGATGTTCCCCTTCCTGTGTCCATGTGTTCTCATTGTTCAGTTCCCACCTGTGAGTGAGAACATGTGGTGTTTGGTTTTTTTGTCCTTGTGATAGTTTGCTGAGAATGATGGTTTCCAGCTTCATCCATGTCCCTACAAAGGACATGAACTCATCATTTTTTATGGCCGCATAGTATTCCATGGTGTATATGTGCCACATTTTCTTAATCCAGTCTATCATTGTTGGACATTTGGGTTGGTTCCAAGTCTTTGCTATTGTGAATAGTGCCGCAATAAACATATGTGTGCATGTGTCTTTACAGCAGCATGATTTATAATCCTTTGGGTATATACCCAGTAATGGGATGGCTGGGTCGAATGGTATTTCTAGTTCTAGATCCCTGAGGAATCGCCACACTGACTTCCACAATGGTTGAACTAGTTTACAGTCCCACCAACAGTGTAAAAGTGTTCCTATTTCTCCACATCCTCTCCAGCACCTGTTGTTTCCTGACTTTTTAATGATTGCCATTCTAACTGGTGTGAGTTGGTATCTCACTGTGGTTTTGATTTGCATTTCTCTGATGGTCAGTGATGATGAGCATTTTTTCGTGTGTCTGTTGGCTGCATAAATGTCTTCTTTTGAGAAGTGTCTGTTCATATCCTTCGCCCACTTGTTGATGGGGCTGTTTTTGTCTTGTAAATTTGTTTGAGTTCTTTGTAGATTCTGGATATTAGGCCTTTGTCAGATGAGTAGATTGCAAAAACTTTCTCCCATTCTGTAGGTTGCCTGTTCACTGTGATGGTAGTTTCTTTTGCTGTGCAGAAGGTCTTTAGTTTAATTAGATCCCATTTGGAATTATCTTTCAAATCATACCATGATCCATTTCAAGTGATTTCTTTCCTCTTTGACTTGCCTCACATTTTTGTAATTTCTTAAGGTTTTCTAACAATTTTTGTCTTTATTTTAAGACTCAAGGTATGATTTTGTGACCAAGACTACTTACAATTACCTCAATTTTAACTTAGCATTAAATGTATCAAAATTACAAATTAGAAATACAGACTTTAAACTCTTAAGTTCATGTTAACATTGCCATAAATCAAGTAATTTTCATCAGAAATATGAACAATCACATTAAAATAAAGTTTAATAGATTAAAATCTATGAAACATTCAAATTTAGAAGTTAGCTAAATTTACATAAATATTTTAAACTGATTATATAATATATTTAATTTTTCATAAAAAGCCTTCAGATGTGTGATAGGTCAGTCTTACAGAGCTATCTGGCAAAATCTTTGTAATTCCTTAAATAATTCTTGTTAAGCTATCATATTAAACTTGTAGTGAATCAAGTTGTCTTACATACTCTAAAGTTTAAATCCCCTTGTGTTTGAATCTTGAAGTTACAAGTCTTAAATCAATTATAAATTTCAAGTGTAAATTTCAAGGCTAATTTTCAGATTACTTGATATGTCATATTCTTTTGGGTTAATGATACAATAACCAAACACTTTTTCTAAAGTTATTATAAAACCATGAATGCTTTAGATTGGATTAACATCATCATTATATTTGATTGTTTATTTAACTCTGATGAGGCGGATTTATTATCTCAGGAAGGCTGAGATTGGAAGAATAATTTTGGACATTAATAGGGTTGTTTTTAGAGCAAAAACTGATCAAAGGTCCTAGGCTATATAGTCCTTATAGAGTCAACTTGAATCACAAGTAGATTTGATAAAATTTTCTTATATCCTCTGTGAATGGAGACATCAAAACTATCCTCTTCAACAGGTATTTCTCTTTGTAACCAATGTCCCTTGGGCAATGATATCTTTATACACTTTTTTGTTGTTACCTGTTCCTATTTTCATAACTTAATTCTGGTAGGTATAATTCTGCACCACTCCCAGTGATGGTCTTCCTTACTCATTTCCTTTAAATATCAGAATTTTGCTGACCTCTTTATTGCCTGATTAGATTCTTCATTGGCCATCTAAATAACCCACTCACCACCCAGTTAAAAATGTATTGAGTACTATTGAAGATCCTGTGCGTACTATCTACCTGCTAATAGTTGCATCTCAACTTTCTGTTTATTTTATTATATTTATTTATTTATTTATTTCATTTTTTTGAAATGGAGTCTTGCTCTGTCACCCAAGCTGAAGTGCCGTGGTGTGATCTTGGCTCACTGCAACCTCCGCCTTCCTGGTTCAAGCGATTGTCCTGCCTCAGCCTCCAGAGTTCGCTGGGACTACAGGTGCCTGCCACCATGCCCAGCTAATTTTTGTATTTTTAGTAGAGACAGGGCTTCACCATGTTGGCCAGGCTGGTCTCAAACTCCTGACCTCAGGTGATCCTCCCGCCTCAGCCTCCCAAAGTGCTGGGATTATAGGCATGATCCATCGTGCTCGGTCACAACCTTCTGTTTAGAGTAAGCACTTTTCTAAGATTTATGTTTATCATTCCCTTGATTTAATTATGGTTTTACGATATACATATGTACCACCAAAGAGATATACTGCGTTTTTATGTTTGAACTCTATATGTTACTTTTGTATGCATCCTTCTGTGACTTGCTTTTTTTCATTCAAAATTCTATTTTTGAAATTTATCTATAGGGCTGCCTGTAGTCATAGCACATTTATTTGCAAGTGCCAAATAGTTTTCCAAACTGTTTTCTGCCAGTGACACTTCTACCTCTAAAGGGTGTGATCCCTTTTCTCCATATGCTTGCAATATTTGTATTTTCAGACTTCTACATTTTTGCCAATTTAGAGGCTGTGAAATATTTCATGGTAGTTTTACTTTTTAATTTTTCTGATAACTGATAAAATTGATCACATTTTAAAATGTTATTTGGCCATTATATTTCCTCTTTTATGAAATACTTGTTCTTTTTTATCCTGTCTTTTTCTTAAGTCATATTTGAGATTTTATGAATTTGAGATTCATAATGCCAGTTATCATTGCAAATACTTTCTTTGGTTTAAGGGCTGACTTTTGCTTTTTTTTTTTCTTTTTTCTTTTTTTTGAATGTTGTTCTTTTTTATTATTATTATACTTTAAGTTTTAGGGTACATGTGCACAGTGTGCAGGTTTGTTACATATGTATACATGTGCCATGTTGGTGTGCTGCACTCATTAACTCATCATTTAGCATTAGGTATATCTCCTAATGCTATCCCTCCCCGCCTCCCCGATGAAACTGACTTTCGCTTTTTAAAGTGTCCTTTGAATAGGCTTAATATTTCCTAATGTAGTTAAACGTATACATATTTTCCCTCTTTTGATCTGCGCTTTGATTTGTGATATTTTGATTTTTTAAAGGCATTCTTGGCTCACTAAAGGACATATGGATATTTCTCTCTTTTATATTCTAAATTTTTGGTTTTTTATATGTAGAGATTAATTTCAGAAAAAGTAAACCTGGAATTAATTTTTATGAATTGTGTCATGTAAACAAATATATAATTGTTGTCCATATAAAAGATTTCCAGTGTTATTTAATAAACCGGCATTTCTCCACAAATCTCAGTATCACCTTTTCAGATATTAAAGTTCTGCATATGCTTTGTTCTTTTCCTGGTCCCTCTTTTTTCTATATGCTACTTTTCCTTCTGTCTCTTAGCCTCTTAATTTCTATGTTTTTTTTCCAATTACAGATTAAAAAAATGTTTTATACAAAAGATGTTAGAATCAAGGTAATCTATTGTGTTGTTACAGTGAGATGAGAAAGATGTGCAGGTGATTCTTCTTAGTTACAGGTAGAAGAGCATGGGTTTAGAACTGAACTTTCTGAGGTTCAAATTTGTCTTTCCTTGGGCAAGACACTCACACTCAGAACCTTATGGCCTCTGTAGGGCTGCCATGAGGATTAAACTACATAATTTCATAGGGTTATGTGCAGTTATGGAGCATGGTAGATGAGATTATTTAATGACAGTTTTATAGTTATTTCATCTTGAAATTTTTCCTTCTGCATAGTTGCATATATTAATTTCTGAGATCCACATAAGTACAGATCTATGGTTATATAAATATATGGTTTTCAAGGGGAAATTATATTATTATTGTTTGTTATTTTCCTTCACTGGAATTGAAGTACAGATAGTTTGCCCTACAGTTTCACTCTGTTGGTTAACCTTTTTTTTTTTTTTTTTTTTTTTCATTTCCACTGAGGCTGTAGTCCCTTAGGGATCTTTGTGTGGTGATCAGATTCAGCTGCACAATTATGTGCAGGCTCACGTCCCAAAACTAGTATCTGAGACTACTGTTAATCTCTCAAACCCTTATTTCCTGGTAGTACAATTTTTTTTCCTTCCAGAGCTACTTTTAATATCCAGTTGGTTTAACATTCTAGGTTCATTTTGAGAAAAATTTTGGCTCTTGATGATTATTTCTATTTTCTTGAGAGTTGAATGATATGGTGTGTTAAGTTTTTTTGTAATTTTTTCAGCATTTAGTTTTGTTTGGTTGTTTGGTTGCTTTTTTTTTAATGGGATAACTTTTCAGACTAATTTGTTGGTATGCTGGATGCAGAAAAGATCTTATATTCCTTTAGTAACACCTCCCTTATCATTTTACTCATTGTTTTGTGTACTTGAGGTGGTATTCTTCTCTATGCTACCTATTAAAAATCATTTTTATTACTAATTATACATTTTAAATCTCACATCCTTGTAATATTCCTCGTCTACCAATGCCAAATTTATATCTTCCTCTTCAAAACTCCTTATGTCTGTATGAATCATCTAATAATTAGCCATGTATATCTTTGTGATATCTCATCTATTGTTTTCCCAACGTATAATTCCTTGTTTTTGCCCTTATAACTGTTCTCTGAAGACAGTTAATTTGAATTATAACTGTTGAGAACTCCTAAATGCTAATGTGAGGCTTTATAAGTTATACTCTGGTAAGATGTAATATATTATGTTTTAATTACAGTTTGATTTCTTTGTATGGATATATTCATTTCAAGTTCCCTTCCATTTATTTTTCTTTCACTCTTTATTACCTTCACTTTTACCTTCCTCTTGCCCCTTCATATTACTCCCAAAGTTATTAACTAATATCATATATATTAAACTCAACAGAATACAGAAAATGGCTTTATACTTTACTACAAACATATTATCACTTCTTGTTTCCTATGATAAAACTTTGACAAATTTTCATATGTTTCTAGCCACTCATTTATAATAGTATCATTTAATAATATTATTATTTAATCATGATCTCTTTTTTTGAAACTCGTGACTCAATTTTACATGTGCAGTAGTCCAATTCCACTTAAAATTTCAGTTCTACATGCAATTTGAAGTGTTTTCTCTTTTTTTTAGCTTTACTTTGACTTGTAGCTCAGGGACTTACAATATAGAAATGAGGGTGTGAGTTCTTGTTTAAGTCTTCCCTGACTTCCTCTCTGTTTTTCTTCCTGTCCTCTAGGTTTTATGTAGAGTTAAAAAAAGTTAGAAAAAAAATGTCTAAATGAGTTATATTGTTTGTTATCTCTTATAACCATCCACTGTCAGAGCTGACCTTCAAATATTGGTTCTCTCATGGAAAACCTGAGACTTTTAAGGTTCCTGTCTTGAGTGATACATTCTCTGATAAATGCTTTGCTATGTCTTCTTTATCCTATCCCTTTCTTAGTGGGATAGAAGACCCATGGATTTTTATTGCTATGGTCCTCTTACCACAGCAGACAACCCACTTGGCCAAAGTAACTTGAAGATGATTTGAACCCATCCCGCTTTCCCTGAGAATTTATTGCTTACCCTGCCATTCAGGAAGTGTACCTGATCTGACCACTAATCCTTCTTTCTTTATCATGTAGATTCCTGTTACCTCAACCAATCTTTGGTCTTTAGACTTTTCTAGGATAGAAACAGGCTTCAGTCTCTTGATTTATATACTCCCCTAAGCCCTGAGGGATACATGTTCATTTAATAACACGTTAATGGTGTTCTACCATTGCTGGCCATATAATTCATTTTTTAATTCATTCAGAAAATATTTACTGAATGGTTAAGCCATGCCAGTTCTTGTTTTCAGCACTGGAAATATAAGTGGGGATATCAGATTTAGCAAATACAAGTACAGATGCCCAACCAAATGTGAATTTCAGATAAACATAAGTTATTGGTAGAAGTGTGCAATATTTGGGACATTTTTGTATTAAAATTACTTGTTTTCATAAAAAATTAAAGCTTATCTGAGTGCCCTGTATTTTATCTGATAATCTTAGATATAGAAATGGATAACATAAACTACCCTGTCTTCATGGAGCTACATTCTAATGAAAAAAAAAATGAATAAAACACTTTGAAAGTATTATGTCATGTAGTGATAACGTCTGTAGAAAAAATAAAATAGAATGAGAGGGATAGAGAGTTCCAGCAGATTAATGTTGCGATTTTTATATGGATTAACCATGCCCCAGTACCAAAGAGACTAATAAGCAGAGACTAGAGGAAAATAAAGGAAAGAAATAGTTGGTTCAGGCATAAGAACAAGCAAGTACAAAGGAACTAGATGGAAGCAGGCGTGGTATGTACACATGGTGACAAATAGGGAAGGGCAAGGCAAAGAAAAGAGTGGGAGAAAGATTCAAAGAGGTATGTGGTGGGGGAAGTTCTGGGCCAGGGAGAGACTGCCAGATTAATCAAGGCATTTAGCCGTAGGAAGGACTTTGGATTTCACTCTTAGTGAGAAAGGAAGGCTTTGCAGAGTTTTCAAGAGAGATCCGGCACACTCATGTTTTCTTTTTAAATGGTTTCTTTTAGCTGCTGAAAAAAATATAGATTGAAGGTGTCAATTGCAAAGACAGGATATAGAAGTAGGAGCCTGTTAGAATAATCTTGGAAAGAGTTGATGGAAGCTTAGACCTTGAAAGTTGTGTTTAAATAATAAGAGCTATCTATGACAAACCCACAGCCAATATCATACTGAATGGGCAAAAACTGGAAGCATTCCCTTTGAAAACTGGCACAAGACAGGGATGCCCTCTCTCACCGCTCCTATTCAACATAGTGTTGGAAGTTCTGGCCAGGGCAATTAGGCAGGAGAAGGAAATAAAGGGTATTCAATTAGGAAAAGAGGAAGTCAAATTGTCCCTGTTTGCAGACGACATGATTGTTTATCTAGAAAACCCCATCGTCTCAGCCCAAAATCTCCTTAAGCTGATAAGCAACTTCAGGAAAGTCTCAGGATACAAAATCAATGTACAAAAATCACAAGCATTCTTATACACCAACAACAGACAAACAGAGAGCCAAATCATGAGTGAACTCCCATTCACAATTGCTTCAAAGAGAATAAAATACCTAGGAATCCAACTTACAAGGGATGTGAAGGACCTCTTCAAGGAGAACTACAAACCACTGCTCAAGGAAATAAAAGAGGACACAAACAAATGGAAGAACATTCCATGCTCATGGGTAGGAAGAATCAATATCGTGAAAATGGCCATACTGCCCAAGGTAATTTACAGATTCAATGCCATCCCCATCAAGCTACCAATGACTTTCTTCACAGAATTGGAAAAGACTACTTTAAAGTTCATATGGAACCAAAAAAGAGCCCGCATCGCCAAGTCAATCCTAAGCCAAAAGAACAAAGCTGGAGGCATCACACTACCTGACTTCAAAATATACTACAAGGCTACAGTAACCAAAACAGCATGGTACTGGTACCAAAACAGAGATATAGATCAATGGAACAGAACAGAGCCCTCAGAAATAACGCCGCATATCTACAACTATCTGATCTTTGACAAACCTGAGAAAAACAAGCAATGGGGAAAGGATTCCCTATTTAATAAATGGTGCTGGGAAAACTGGCTAACCATATGTAGAAAGCTGAAACTGGATCCCTTCCTTACACCTTATACAAAAATCAATTCAAGATGGATTAAAGATTTAAACGTTAGACCTAAAACCATAAAAACCCTAGAAGAAAACCTAGGCATTACCATTCAGGACATAGGCGTGGGCAAGGACTTCATGTCCAAAACACCAAAAGCAATGGCAACAAAAGCCAAAATTGACAAATGGGATCTAATTAAACTAAAGAGCTTCTGCACAGCAAAAGAAACTACCATCAGAGTGAACAGGCAACCTACAACATGGGAGAAAATTTTTACAACCTACTCATCTGACAAAGGGCTAATATCCAGAATCTACAATGAACTCAAACAAATTTACAAGAAAAAAACAAACAACCCCATCAAAAAGTGGGCGAAGGACATGAACAGACACTTCTCAAAAGAAGACATTTATGCAGCCAAAAAACACATGAAAAAAATGCTCATCATCACTGGCCATCAGAGAAATGCAAATCCAAACCACAATGAGATACCATCTCACACCAGTTAGAATGGCAATCATTAAAAAGTCAGGAAACAACAGGTGCTGGAGAGGATGTGGAGAAATAGGAACACTTTTACACTGTTGGTGGGACTGTAAACTAGTTCAACCATTGTGGAAGTCAGTGTGGCGATTCCTCAGAGATCTAGAACTAGAAATACCATTTGACCCAGCCATCCCATTACTGGGTATATACCCAAAGGACTATAAATCATGCTGCTATAAAGACACATGCACATGTATGTTTATTGTGGCATTATTCACAATAGCAAAGACTTGGAACCAACCCAAATGTCCAACAATGATAGACTGGATTAAGAAAATGTGGCACATATACACCATGGAATACTATGCAGCCATAAAAAATGATGAGTTCATGTCCTTTGTAGGGACATGGATGAAATTGGAAACCATCATTCTCAGTAAACTATCGCAAGAACAAAAAACCAAACACCGCATATTCTCACTCATAGGTGGGAATTGAACAATGAGATCACATGGACACAGGAAGGGGAATATCACACTCTGGGGACTGTGGTGGGGTCGGGGGAGGGGGGAGGGATAGCATTGGGAGATATACCTAATGCTAGATGACACGTTAGTGGGTGCAGCGCACCAGCATGGCACATGTATACATATGTAACTAACCTGCACAATGTGCACATGTACCCTAAAACTTAAAGTATAATTAAAAAAAAAAAAACATTAAAAAAAAAAAAGAGAAAGAAACATCATGAAAAAAAAAAAAAAAGATGGGAAGAAGTAAATGAATTCCGATTGAATTTTGCAGGAAAAAATGCTAGAATTTTTTGATAGATTGAATATATAACATAAGAAAAAGAGAAAAGTCAAGGATGATTCTGATAACATTTATTAGAGAAACTGAAAGAAAGGAGTTGATATTTCCTGTGATGGGAGAAGACTGTGAGAGGTGAGTAGGAGTGTATGGAAATAAGTTCAGTTTTGGACATGTTAAGCTTGCAGTGTTAGAAATCTAATTTCAGAGACAAAATCTACAGTTAGATGTACTGTTCATGGAAGAGTTCTGGGTCAAAAATAACCACTTGAGAATTTTCAGTGTGTAAATATTATTTCACATAAGAAGAGCAGATGAGAGATGTGCCCTTCTTCTTGAGGGCATTACCAACTACTATGATGGATGGTTGGTATTTTTGTTTGTTTGTTTGTTTTTAAGAAATGCCTTCACTTCATCTGTCGGAGTGACTGCTCTACTCCCAAATCATATGGAGGGGAAAGAAAGTTCTCTGCTTTCCCCTAACACTAATCCTCAGTTGAGAACTCATGACTTATTGAAAACCCTTAAAAGCCATGTAAAGAGTGATTACAATCACTTTCATTCAGTGATTGTAAGTACTGTCTCTCATTGGTAGTGCACTTGATTCTTATTTATTTCCCTATTTTTATCTCCTCTCTTAAAAAAATCAGGTGATTGATAGAGTGCCACATGCTTATCTCTAGGTGCTGATAGTTCAGTGTGTTATGCCAATTAGATAGAATCTGCAATCACACTTTCTATGCCTTTCTTTTGCGGATAGTATTTGGTCGATAAATTAGTTAATACAATTTGATGAACACTTCCTACATTTGTCAGATGGTACTGGATACCTTGCTGTAAACTAAATAGCATCAGGTTGTTTTAGAATATGCAGTCCCTACAAAGTTGAGAGCTCCTGCATTAGTACATCCTAGAATGAACTGTCATTTTAAAATGTTTCATTAAATTTACTTGTCAGTGAGGTTAAGAAAAAAACACATGATTTTAATATACTAAATTAACAATGTGACTTTTTGATTTGGCTTTAGCAATGGCAATCTCTTCAATTTGAACAACTTCTATCAGCCCTAGTCTACTTCAATCATAGATCTACTTTTTTAAAACAAATTATTTTTCTTTAAAGTTCCAGGGTACGTGTGCAAGATATGCAGGTTTGTTACATAGGTAAACGTGTGACATGGTGGTTTACTGCATCTATAAACCCATCACCTGGGTATTAAGCACAGCATGCATTAGCTATTATTTTTCTTGATGCTCTCCGCCCCCCAGCTCACCGTCCAACAGGCCCCAGTGTATGTTGTTCCCTTCCCTGTGTCCATGTGTTCTTATTGTTTAGCTCCCACCTATAAGTGAGAGCATGGGGTGTTTGGTTTTCTATTCCTGTGTTAGTTTGCTGGGGATAATGGCTTTCAGCTCCATTCATGTTCCTTCAAAGGACATGATCTTGTTCCTTTTTATGGCTGCTTAGTATTCCATGGTGTATATGTAGCACTTTTTTTTTTTTTATCCAGTCTGTCACTGTTGGGCATTTGGGTTGATTCCATGTTTTCTATTGTGAACAGTGCTGCAGTGAAGATACACGTGCATGTATCAAAACTGCAATGAGATACCATCTCACATCAGTCAGAATGGCAATTATTAAAAAGTCAAGAAACATCAGTTACTGGCGAGGTTGTGGAAATATAGGAACACTTTTACACTGTTGGTGGGAATGTAAATTAATTCAACCATTATGGAAGACAGTGTGGCAATTCCTCAAAGATCTAGAACCAGAAATACCATTTGACCCAGCAATCCCATTACTGGGTATATACCCAAATGAATATACATCATACATCTACTTTAATACAACCCCAATTGCTTTATTAACAGTTTGGTTTAAGAAAACTCCTCCATATGCTGCCGACACTTTTTAAATTAAATAAAGTAAAATCATTTCTTTATATGAATTGGCCAATTAGTTTTCTAGGTGGCAAAATCTTACACAGAAACTAGGTATTCATCTTACCAAAGACTAACTATATGTTAGTCTAGTATTAACACTACCAAAGACTACATGTTACTGAACAAGTCACTTAATTTTTCTGAATCTTAGTTACCTCATTTTTGGAGCACAAGTATTAGAATGCATACGCTCTAAAGTTCTTTCCTGTTTTAAAATGTTATGATTCTATGATAAAAATTTTTAATCCACCAGGACCTTTAAATTCTGGTTATTTAACTTCTTCATCTCTATTACAGGCCTAGAATATTTTCTTCATTTCATATTTTGTCATATTTCATATTATGTCAGTTTTTATGTGAAGCAAAAACACCCTTCTTATATAAAATAAATTTCAGTAGTAGTATAATTAACATACAGGACCTATACCTCTATAATATTTAAAAATTAGAAATGAACAAATGTAGACTATTATAGTAGAATAAGATCAGTAAATGTATGGAGTGTGTTTGATCAGATTATATATATATGCTATCATTTTAGAATAAGGCTTCTAAAGAACCTGCTTATGTGGATAAAGTGTAGAACAGTGAGAATATTAAAACTAATATCAGTATTAAAGAACGACATTAGTTTCCCCAATGATGTTGGATGATTAGAGACTGAAATCTTCACTATCCAAGCTACATTATCATTAAAATCACAAATACATCCAAAGCAAATGAAATCGATAACATCTTATGATATCAAAAATGTTTGGGTAATTAAAGAAACCTATTGCTCATGCCATTCAAATATACAAATAACTTAAACAAAAGGTGAATGCCACTCACAAACCAATTAGCCTAGAGGTTGAGATGGAACAGATTTTTTTTTTTTTTAGAGAAAATAAAAATCTTTATTTGCGTGTATTTTTAAAAAAGGAATGAGCCAATTTTATTTTGTTTCTTTTGGAGTCCAATGTGATCAACCAATCCACTTTGTGTGAAATAATGAGAGGAGGCACAGAAAGTGTTTAGCATGGTGCCTGGCACATGGTAATGCTTAAATAACACAGTTTTTATTACTGTGGGCTAGAGAAACTATAGCTATTATGGGTTATAGATCAAGACAGTAATCATGGCACACTGACCTCTCCCACAGACCCTCAAAGCCTAATCTATCTATCTGTCTATCTGTCTGTCTGTCTATCTCTATCCCTTTGGAACAGATTCTTAATGTTCAAGATGAAGAGATGAAAAATAAAATTAAATAAACACATTCTAATTTCTTTAAGCTTCCCATGGGAATCATCTGATGTATGCTATTTCCTAAAGGGGAAAGAAATAAATCATTTGAGTGATCTAAAGATAGCCCTAAGAGTACAGTGGCATCCTTTCTATTTTAAATCCAGAGAAAATGACAAAACAATAAATTTCAGAGCTCATTCTCCTGTCTTTGCTGACAGGTACACTTGTTTTCTTCCTGATTAGATAACCCACATAAGAATAAATACTCTGAACTGGGCTGCAATGTAAAGTGAAAATAACTTTTTGTTTTCTAAATATTTTTATTCTTTTTCTTAAATATTTCACATTTGGTTTAAATATAATTGTTGACTTGTTAAATATTTCAGATTTGGTTTAAATATCATTGTTGACTTGTAAATAATTTTAGAGAATAATATTAGAAGCATAGAACAATATTTAAATTGGAAAGAGAAGAATGTTCACTAGAATTTACCTTTTTAAAAAATGAAAAGAGGTCAACTCCCAGCAGGCCAATTTTCTACACTCTTATTGTGTATAATTCTTTAAAGTCATGAAGAACCAGGATTTCTTATTATAATATTCCTTCCTGAAGACTGTGATCGAATCAAGATTTATTCTTAGCATACTTTTAATGATTAATCTAAATTTTAAAACTTTCTGCTTTTCTATACCACAATTCCATTTATTATACTACTTTATATTACCTTTATATCACTTTTTTATCGTCTATGAGATAGTAAGTTCCTTGAATGCAGGGACTCTGCCTTGGCTTTCTTACCACAATAAACGATGCTAAATAAACACTTTCTGAATTAATGAAATAGGTTTCTGAAGGCATTGCTGTTTGTGATTCTCTAACATTGTTATAGGGAAGAAAGCTAAAGGAGAAGTGAGTCTGAATATTTACAGGATTTTTCATCTTCTGAATATTGTTATTTTTTTTCTCATTCTGAGAAAACAGGAAGACAAAATAATGCTGTTACAGTCACAGTTCAGGTAGTAATTATGTTTTCACTCAAAAGATAAGATAAAACAAAGATAACCAATAATGTACCTTGGCTAAACCCATTTTTATGTATAAAATTACTGAATTTTGTCTTTCTTAGTCGTATAGTCTTACAGGTAATTGAATGAGTATATATGATGGGATTCCCTACCCCAGTCTCATACACATATGTTATTCTAACAGGTTCTTAAGAGGATATAGGACAACAAAAGAGAAGTTACAGCCTCTCTATTAACAACCTTAGGGAAAGAGATCCATAACAGGCACTCATATTTCTAATATAGCTATTCTCAAATTTTAAGATCTCAGGATCCTTTACACTTAAAAACTACCGAGAATTTCAAAGAGCTTTGGTTTATGTAGGGTATTCACCATACTAAAAGACTGAAACTGAGAAATTCTAAGATGTGTATTTGTTGATTTATTTAAAATAATACTATTTTTTTACATGTTAAACTAAATAATGTGCTTTTAGGAAAAATTAATGCTATTTTCCAAAACAAACAAAAAAAAGTAACAAGAAGAATGACATCGTTTTATACTTTTGATGACTGACTTAATATCTTGCTTAATAAAACACAGGTTTATTGCCATATCTATTTCTATATTCAACCGCTGACTATATAATCTTGTAATTGAAACCTTTTAAAGAAAACGTGGCTTCACATGTATATGTGGTTGAAAAAGAGAAGAGCATTTTAATATCCTTTCTATTAATTTTAGATATTTTTATTTAAATATACAATCTGAAACCATATCAATAAATACTTAATGCTTGGTTACATAAAAATCAAGAGATCTAGCTTGCAATTTGAAGGGATATTTTAACTACACATGATTTTGTAAAATCATGCCTTGGTCATTAGGAAAACATTGGTTTGCAGAATTATGCAGATTTTCAAGTGATGTATCATTTCGATAGCAATAAGAAAATAAATCACATTTATTACTTGTTGTTCCAGCCAAGATGAAGCAATAGAATCCAGATATGCTTTCCCACTAAAAACAACTAAAAATCCAAATAAAATATATAAAACAAGAAATGTAAAATATTAGGCATCAGACAATGAAAAGCACTAGTCCCTAAGAGATGAGGAAGGAAACAAATATGGTTTTTTAATTATCCAGCTTAGTTCCTGGAGAGTAAGTTTCCAGGTCATGGGCACAGGGAGAGGTAACTCGGGCAGAACCCAGTGGTCTCCTCCAGTTGAGAAGAGCTAAGAAACTTGAAAGGTCCAACTGGCTGGAGTTCTCAAAGCAGAGCACCAAAGTGGAGAAAGCTGCAAAAAGAGAGCGCTCCAGAGATTTGCAGAGGATCACCCTAATTTCTGAAATTGAGTACTCATCAGTACGTGCATCTGAAGGAACCATTCACAGCTGGGCTAGGAATAGTTGTTTCTACTAGATAAAATGTGAAGAACCATGTAATTTACAAGGACTCCGGTGGGTATTTCAGAAAGACTGTCTCAGTAGTGGAAAATAATATCCCCTAATCCAGCAGCCCCCAACCTTTGTGGCACCAGGGACTGGTTTCGCGGAAGACAATTTTTCCATGGAGCAGGGTTTGTGGAGGGGATGGTTTTGGAACAAAACTGTTCCACCTCAGAGAATCAGGAATTAATTAGATTCCCATAAGGAGCACACAACCTAGATGCCTCGCATGCGCAGTTCACAATAGGGTTCCCACTCCTATGAGCATCTATCTAATGCCACCACTGATCTGCCAGGAGGTGGAGCTCAGGTGGTAATGCTCACTCACCCACTGCTCACCTCCTACTGCGCAGCCCGGTTCCTAACAGGTCACTGACTGGTACAGGTCCGCAGCCTGGGGACCCCTGCCCTAGCCTAAACACTGCTTTAATCTCACCTAAGAAAGATTAAAAGCAAGACCTAAAAAACTCTATCTGTTTTCAGGTAATCTATGCGTGGAATAAAGCTCAAGAATATTTAAGTAATTTCAAAATTATTCAACATAATGTAAAATTCACAAAGTTTCACTCACATGCAATAAAAAAATGACTAAGCATGAAAAAAAGTGGAAAAAGATAAAACCTGTCATGAGAGAAAGATGAATCAATTGTAATTGATCTAGTAATAATATAGATGGTGAAATTAGTAGATAACAAAATTACAATAGTTATTTATTGATAGATAATAGTTATATATTTGGGGGATACCTGTGATATTTTGATACATGCATACAACATTGTAATGATCAAATAAAAGTAATTGGGGTATCTATCATCTCAAACATTAATTTTTTGTTTTATTGGGAACATTCCAAATCTTTTCTTCCAACTATTTTGAAGTATACAACATATTATTGTTAACCGTAGTCACCCTGCTGTATTATTGAGCACTAGATCTTATTTCTTCTGTTTGTGTTTCGTACTTATTAGCCAACTTCTCTTGGCTATACTTGCCAGACTCTGCTAACTACTGATCCATTCCCTACCTCCATGAGATCCATGTTTTTAGCTCCCCTATAGGAGCTGAAAACATGCAGTATTTGTGTTTCTTTCCCTGGCTTATTTCATTTAATATAATGACCTTCAGTTCTATCCATGTTGCTGCAAATCACAGGATTTCATTCTTTTTATGGTGGAATAATATTGTATTACATGTAAGTACCACGTTTCTTAATCCATTTGTTAATTGATGGACACTTAAGTTGATTTCATATCTTATCCATTGAGAATAGTGCTGGAATAAACATGGGGGTGCAGATAACTCTTTGATATACTGATTTTTATTCTTTTGGATATACACCCAGCAATGGAATTGCTGGATCATATGATAGTTCTATTCTTAGTTTTACGAGGAGCCTCTATACTGTATTCCATAGTAGCTGTACTATTAAAAATTTACATTCCTGCCACTAGTGTACAAAGGTTCCTCTTTCTCTGCATCCTTGCCAGCATTTGCTATTGCCTGACATTTGATAAGCAGCATTTAAAATAGGGTTAGTTTTATGTGCCTTTTTCTAATGATTAGTGATTTTGAACATTTTTTTCATGTACCCTTTGGACACATGAGATTAGTATTCAAAAGAAGAATTAGCATTCTTTTTTGAGAAATGCTTATTCAGATCCTTTCCCCAAGAACAGGTATTATTATTCTACTCCATATATTCATTGAGCTAAAGTAAAGAGTGAGCATATCAGCTAGAGATATTGATAGTATTTTAAAAGATCTACATTTAACTCTTAAAAATGAAAACTACAATGTTTGAGAAAAATTACACTGGATGGAATTAATAACAGATCATACACCGCAGAGGACATAATTAGGGAACTTGAAAGCATAGAAATGGAAAGAAGCTAAAATGAACCAGTAAGAGAAAAAGAAGACTGGAAAAAAAAAAAACAAACAAACAAAAACAGCTTCAGCGAGATGTTGGTCTATTATATGGAAAATTGGAAACCTAAAGTAAAGAAGTTAAAGCAGGTTTCAGGAAAATTATTTAAGAAAGTAATGGCCTAAATATTTCCAATATTGATAAAAATTATAAACTTACTGATACAAGAAAATAAATGAACCTTAAGCACACACACACACACACGTGCGTGCGCAAGGCCACATGAATGGACATTATAAATAAATTTCTTGGAGTCAAGGTAAAAAGAAAGTATGTAAATCAGACAGATATAAAAGACACATTACATACTAACATACAAAGATTATAATGGCCGCATACTTCTTTGAAACCATAAAAGCCAGGAGGCAACAATGCAACATCTTGAAAGTATTGCAAAGACTAAAAGGCCAATCCATAATTCTAATCCCTAAAAAAAGTATCTTTCAGGAATAAAGTAGAAATAAGGACTTTTTCAGAGGTGCCAAAGCTGAGATAATTTATTAACTGCAGACCTTCCTGACAAGAAATATTAACAGAAGTCCTTCAAGCAGAGGAAAAATGACATCAGGTGAAAATCTGACTCAATACAAGGGAATAAAGAATCCTAGAAATTGTAATTACATTTGTACAGATAAAATATTTTTTATTATTTAGGTCTCTTTAAATGATAAATGACTATTTAAATAAAAATTCATGTATATAGTGAAGTACACTATAAGTACAACGTACACAGAAGTACCTTGCATGATAAAAATAGGATAAAGTCCAGGAGGAAGAAATGAAAATGTACTATTTCAAGGCTCTTATACTACATCTGAAGTGCTATTATATTATTTTAAGGTAGACACTGATGGGTTAAAGATGAAAAGTACAACTCCTAGAGCAATCACTAAAAAAAAAAGCAAAGAATTATAGTTGATAATACAACAAAGGAGACAGCATTGACTCAAAAAACATATTAAATAAAAAAAAAGAAACAAAAGAAAGGGATGAAAGATAGGAGAGAAGTAACAGATGTCACAAAAAGAAAATAAAAAGCAAGTTGGTACTTAAACCATACATATTTATCAGCACATTAAGTGTAAATGATTTAAATGTACCAATTATATGGTGTAGATTGCCAACTAGATACAAAGAAAAAAAAAGACTCATTATATGTTTCCTATGAGAAACACACATTAAATCTAAACATAAGTTGTTTAAAAGTAAAAAGATATAGAGGAAGGAATGAATAGATACAGCACAGGAGATTTTTAGGGCAGTGAAACTATTTTGCACGGTAGTGTAAGGGTGGCTATAACACATTATCATTTGTCAAAATCTACAGAACTGCACAGCAAAAACAGTAAACTTAATGCAAATTGTGGACTTCAGTTAATAATCAGGTATTGATATTGATTCACCAATTGTAATAAATAATGCAAGATAATTATGATACAAGAAACTGTGTGAAAGAGAGGAGGAAATGGAAGAAAGTTCTCTGTAATTTCTACTGGATCTTAAACCTAAAATTACACTAAAAGAAACTTGTTAATTTTCTTTAAAAAATTAATAGAAAAAAAGCATACTAATTGTAATAAAAAGGAAGTTGTATTGTCTATATTAATATCACATAAATATATGTTATAATAAAAAGATTATTTCTTAATAAATGGATAAATAAATGAATTCATCCAAAGGATGTATAATTCAAAATGTATATACACTTAACAGAGTTTTAAAACACATGAAACAAAAACTGATAGGAATGTAAGGAGAAATAGATACAAACACAATTCTAGTCAGAGATTTCTGTCCTATTTCTTAACAATTTAGAGAATAAGTTGACAGAAAATCACTAAGAACATAGAAGACATGAACAGTATTGAACAAGAGCAGCATACAAGTTATTTTCAAGTGCACATGTATATTTACCAAGATAGACAATATGCTCATACATAAAACAAGTCTCAATAAATGTAAAAAATTCAGTTTAGATGAAATATATTCTCTGACTAGACAGAAATTAAATTGTAAATAAATATGAGAAAGATATCTTGACAATTTCTAAATACTTGGAAATTAATTAACATATATCTAAATAACACGTGAACCGAAAGAGAGCTAAAAGTAGGCTGTATTTGGAATGGAACAAAAATAAAAACTCTGAATACACAAATTATAGAATACTTCTAAAATTGCGCTTGGAGGAAAAGTTATAGATATTAGAAAAGAAAGGCCTTAGAATAATGTTCAAACCTCTACCTTAAGAAAACAAGAAAATGGAAGCACAGACTAAACCCAATGTTAAGTATAAACTAAAAGCTGGCTCTTTTAGAAGACGAATTAAATTGATAAATATTACTCAGACTGAGCAGAGAAAAAGGGAGAATTACACAAATTACTGATATGAGAATGGGAGTGGTGATATTTAGTATACATATAAAAGAAATAATAGAAAAAATATGAGAAAAAACTTTATGACAACAATTTTGACAACTTAGGTGAAATGAATCCTTTGCAAGTCACAAAATATCAAGCCCACTCTTGGTATAATAGATACCTTAAATAGTCTTATACCTGTTATAGAATTTCTATTTGTAGTTTAAAATATTTCCTCTCTTTTTCATTAAAAGCCAGATTCATATGACTTCAATGGTAATTTCTTTAAAAACTATATGTAGAAAATGCTATCAGTTTTTTATAAACTCATTCAGGAAATTAAGGGGAAAGGAATATTTTATAACTCAATCTATGAGGCCAGTGTTATTCTGATAACTGAATTTGAAAAAAAATGTTATAAGAAAAGATAACTACAGAGTGATATCCTTGTTGACCATAGGTACTAAAATTAAAAAAAAGAACAGCCAATTTAATCCAATAATATATACAAACAGTATCATGACCAAGGTGGGTTTATCTCAAAGAAACAAGATTGGTATAATATATTAAAATCAATCAATATAATTCACCGTATTAACAGATTGAAAAAGAACAACTATTTGATCATCTTAATAGATGCGGAAAAAGCGTTCGACCAAATCTAACCTGCATTTCTGATGGGAACTTTCAGCTAACTGTGAATAATGCAACAAGAAAATGTTTTCCAAATAAAAAAGTTTCTCTAAAAATCTTGCAACTTACGTCATGTTTAATGGTGAAAGGCCGAATGTTTTTGCTCTTAGATAGTGAATGAATAAATAAATTGTACTATGTACATACGATAAGATATACAATAAAATATTATCTAGCTATAAACGGAAATGAGCTGTTGTACAAAAAGGCATGGATTAATCCTGAATGCATATTGCTAAGTGAAAAAAAAATCCAGTTTGAAAAATATACATACTGTGTAAGTCCAATTATATTATATTTTGGCATAACTATAGTAATGATAAGCAGATCATTGGTTGCCAGTGGTTTGTAGTCACGGGATGGTTGAATAGGTAAAGCGCATAGAATTTACTTAAGAAATTAAAAGTATTCTATGTATTTTTTGAATACAACATTAAGCATTTGTCAAAAATCATAGAGCTTTACAGCACAAAGAGTAGTCTCAATGTATGAAAATCTAAGAAATCAATTGGGAGGTAGGTGGGTCCAAGAAGAGAATGCTGACTGTGACAAAAAAACTAAATGTATTACAAACACATGAAAAAAAAAATTCACTAAAGTGTGTAGAGAAATAAGGAGCCATAAACTTTGGAAGTGTGTGGAGTCTGTAAGACTGCAGGCAAAAGGAACTGTATGTAAGCACTGTCTTCTAATTCATAAATTTGTTTCCCAAGGGGTATAGGCTGATGATTTTTTTTTTTTTTTTTTTTTTTAAGAAGGAGTTTCAATCTTGTTGTCCAGGCTGGAGTGCAATGGCGTGATCTCAACTCACTGCCACCTCCACCTCCCAAGTTCAAGCCATTCTCCTGTCTCAACCTCCTGAGTAGCTGGGATTACAGGCATGTGCCACCACACCTGGCTAATTTTGTATTTTTAGTAGAGACAGGCTTTCACCATGTTGGTCAGGCTGGTCTTCAACTCTGACCTCAGGTGATCTGCCTGCCTCAGCCTTTCAAAATGCTGGGATTACAGGCGTAAGCCACCACACCCAGCCAGGCTAATGATTCTTAAACCACTATTTATCCATACTGGAGTATAGTATAAACTATTTATCTATACTGGAGTTAAACTATTAAGTGAATTGATGTTAGATTGTGGAAGACAGGTTTTTTACCATTGAAATGGGAGGTTACAGACAAGGGAAGGGTTAAATGACCTGTGTGATAGTTGATTGACATTGAAGACATCAATATGAACTCATGTTTAGCTTAATATAGATATAGGCAGTTGCATATAGAAATATTTAGAAATATGTGTATGTACATTGGTTAGTATATACACATAAACCTTCTTGCTCTGTTAGCTGAGAGGGCCCAGGAGCAATGCCACCCCAGTAACATGAACACATCTAACACACAAATCTTGGTTTCTTATACCATTTTCCAATTAAAGAGAACAAGGGCTCCTTATAGAAATGGCTGATAATATGACTGGGAGGAAATGTACAAGATGAGTCTGGGGCATCTTGTACTTCTATAAAGTGAGAAAGTGCTTTTAAAAACCACCACAATGACAAGGGCATGTCAAAGTGATACAGGAACCAACTAAAAGAACTCCCAATGACCACAGTTGGAACAAATTAGTATTGGATTACAAAACAAAGTACAAAATACATAGCTATGAGACCATACTGATATAAATTATTGAATAAATAAATAAATGAGAGAAAACAGAGAATTCAAATGATTTATATAGATAAACTGCCTTTAAGGACATTGTCCCTTCTTAAGTGTGGGCTGTGCATTTGACTTTCTTCCCAAGCATATAGTATGGAAAGGAAGGGAAACAATAAAACTTCGTAGTAGATAAACCTAACGAACACCAAGGTTAATGTCAAACATTGGCATGACCAAAGGGAAGTAATTTATCTTCTCTGTGATTCAGTTTCATCATAAAGTGGAGATTTCAAAATCAAGCAGTCTGATTCCAGAGATTTTGCACACTTAATCATTCTGTTGGACTCTTACCTAGAAAGTCTCAAAAGTGCATGAAATTGACTACCAAATTGGCAATAATGTCACAGATTTATTTGTTCTGCTAAATTGTAAAATTGCCAACTTTTACTCAAAATAAAAAACAAAGAAAACAATGTCTGTGTCTTTCCAAGGAAAAGTCTACTAGTACCATGGCCAAATTACTTAAATCACTCTATCCCTACTTATGAAATTCTCCCTGACCCGTCTATCCCTGCCAGGAATTTCAGTAATGTACCAAAAGACAGAAATATGTGACCATTCTCAAGGGCAATCTGATTAATTTTGCTAAGTGAAGTGTCTTTCTAGCCGAAGGTTATTCTTTAATGAGCAGCTACACATGCTATACTCTTGCTTTGTTGAATCTTAATTGCATTGACAAGAATATAGAATGGACCAGGAGATTTGAATAACATTTATTCAATCTAGAAGGCTCCCCAAAAGTATTTTTACCCATGATTCATTTTCTCTGACCTTAGCCAAAGCAGGTTATTCTACCCTTTCCACTCTGAATACATTTTTTCTTGGAGATAGAAACAAAAGTTTAGTCTCCTCTGTGTTGCTTGTCAGTATTTGATGCTCTGCCTCTGTTAGCAGATTTCTCCATTCTTTGATCTTCCTCTGCCTCTTACTATATCAACAAACAAAAAATTCCTTTTGGCCATTCTTAGAAAATTTTTAATCAAAAAGTTCATTTTATTTTTTATGCTACTATAAAACTTGCATTTACACCACACTTTTTAGTTATTTATTTTATCACCTATATCTATTTTTTAGAAAACATCTGAAATCTTTGAAAAAATCACTTGAAAACTTGTCCTCTTGGTATGAACTGATGTTGTTTCATGTTCTTAGAACTATCTTTCCCCAGACTTTGTCTAACTTACTCCTACTCATTCCTTAATTCCCCAAATGGACTTTACCTGCTAAGGGCATCTCCTTTCAAGTCCAGATTAGATGCTCCACATACATGTACGGTGTCATCATCAAATTTGCCCTATACATCACTTGTGACACTAGGTTTTTATCACCTCTGTTCTTCTCTATATTCCATATTAGATCAAAAACTCTACAAGGAGAGGCACCCTGTCAACAGCACCAAGCATAGTATCTGTCATAAGCAATAATTTACATTTTTATTGAATGAATGAAGGAAACATGGGGCATTATTTGTGTACCCCAAATCCTCCATGATACAACTTGCAGTGTATTATTAATCTCACAGTCAGATTGCTGTTATGAGAGCTTTCTAATGCAATATACCTTCCCTTCATAACTTCCCACTAAAAAAATCATATCTCTCTTTTGTATGAATTTAGAAATCCCTGCTATCCAAAATACTAAGGGACAGGTATGCCTTTTTACCATTTGCCCTCTATCACAGTTTCTAAAATTAAATTGTTATTTTTTTATTATACTTTAAGTTTTAGGGTACATGTGCACAACGTGCAGGTTAGTTACATATGTATACATGTGCCATGTTGGTGTGCTGCACCCATTAACTCATCTTTTAATTTTAGGTATATCTCCTAATGCTATCCCTCCCCCCTCCCCCTACCCCACAACAGGCCCCGGTGTGTGATGTTCCCCTTCCTCTGTCCATGTGTTCTCATTCTTCAATTCCCACCTATGAGTGAGAACATGCGGTGGTTGGTTTTTTGTCCTTGCGATCGTTTGCTGAGAATGATGGTTTCCAGCTTCATCCATGTCCCTACAAAGGACAAGAACTCATCATTTTTTATGGCTGCATAGTATTCCATGGTGTATTATGTGCTACATTTTCTTAATCCAGTCTATCATTGTTGGACATTTGGGTTGGTTCCAAGTCTTTGCTATTGTGAATAGTGCCGCAATAAACATACGTGTGCATGTGTCTTTATAGCAGCATGATTTATAATCCTTTGGGTATATACCCAGTAATGGGATGGCTGGGTCAAATGGTATTTCTAGTTCTAGATCCCTGAGGAATCGCCTCACTGACTTCTCAATGTTCTTGTCGGTTTCAAGAACTGATGGTCAGATTAAGGATAGAATAGCACTGAAGATCCCTGATAAATTTCCCTGCTTCCCGGAAATGATATGTCAGCAAAGAAATTGAGGGCTTATTGTATAAATGAATGTCGAGCTTGTTTTTAAATAGTTGAGACCCCCTTTCACCCCTTTTCAGTCATTTGCTTATATATATTTATATATTAAAAGTCAGCAGGAATATACTGTGTAAGCAGTAGATCGGGAATAGCATGAATGTACCATCTATAAAAGTTCAACTACACCTAAAATACAGTACTTTCGGGATTCATTTATTAGTTCACATAACATGTACTGAATACCTACTATGTACTAACACTGTTCTTGGTGATTCAGTGATGGAAAGATAGAAAAAGAAAGGCTCACCTCTCACAGATCTTACATCTTTGGAAAAAATAGAAAATAAACACTCAAAATATAATGAAGACATTTTAAAACTCAGGAGTATAAGAAAGACATAGAGCCAAATTGGCTATAAGAGTGGTATATATGTTTAGATAGAGAAATTAAGTCAAGCCTCTTTAAGAAGTTAAATTTAAGTCAATTCTTGAATATTATGAAAGTGCCAATCATGTAAATACCCTTGTATCCGCGAGAGCACCCTCTGCATCAGTCATTTTACTCTCTGCAGCCATAACCTTCTTCTGAACTACAATTCAATGTGATCACAGTACTTCTTTGCTTAAAACTTGTACATGGCTTTCTTGGGTAAAAAGTCCAAATTTATTTATATTTATTAATGACTCTCCTCTATTTGCATCTTTCCCAAATCTCTAGCTCATTGCTTCTTCACTTTCTATTCTTTCTCTAATATTTAATATTCTAGTAAAAATTATTTTGGAGCCTTGAAGACACCATATTCTCCCGCATTTCTTATATTTTCTCTGCCTAGAACACTTACCCTCTTCTCAACGTATTTCCTCATTTTTGAACATTCATGAGCACTTTTTTATTTTCAGAAGTAGCAAAATATTTAATAATACCATTTCATTCATTAATGCATGGAGTAACATCAGTAAGGCATGCAGTTCCTTATAATTAACAGCTTTGGAATACATGAGCATGAAAAGTTTCATCTTTTTGCGTAATATTAGATGATTCCACTTAAAATATTTTTGGTTTTGATGTGAGATTTTGCAGGCATGAAGCTTGGTTTTTTAAATTTAATTTAATTTAAGTTTCATAATACATGTTCAGGGCATGCAGATTTGTTACACAGGTAAACGTGGAGTACTCTCTTTTTAAGAATTTGATTGCTATTAATAAAACTGCTGTGAGCCTTCTAGTACATGTGTTTTTGTAGGCAGAAAACCTCATTTATATTAATTAAAATTCCTGGGCCCTGGCATAGTCTTTTGGGAAGATTTTTAGCTTCAGCTTCAATTTTTTTAAAAAATATATAAAGTATGTTTTATTTATATGTCTTAACTCAATTTTGGCAAGTTAAATTTTTATAGAGATGTATAGATTTAGTCAGTATTAAGCTTCACAAAAACCTTGACTTTCTTATCCAGGGTATTGTAAGGGGAAAATAAAATAAATATCTTTCTACTTTTGCTTGGGGTGCATAATGTTCTGTTAGCATCTGTCTCACTAGGGTCTTTTATCCAGATTCTATTTTAAATTAGATACCAAGTTTATATTTATTTAAATAAAATAATCAAATGAATCAACCAATCTATAATAACAAAAAATTATCATGTGTTTTTCCTGGTGCTTACAACTTCAAAGAAGTAATTACAGATATTTAAAACTATAAATCTCATTATAAGATAAAAGTTTTGATTTCTAAAAAATATTTTTATTCTTACCTCAGTCAGTTCTCAATTTCTTCCTAGACCAGAATTGCTTTCTATATCGGCAATTAAATAGGATCCTGACCATCAGTGTCCTAAAATTTCTTCTGATAGAAAGATTTGGCTGTGTTCTTTCAAAGCAGACATAAATTGTGCTGAACAAAATATCCACTAAGTAGATATTAATGTTACAATTTTTACAGCTATCCAAGTGGCTCCATCTTGTTCCTGCCAAATAGCACATCCAACCCACCTTCAGGAATATCTAGTCGAAGGACGAACCAACTTATCTGTATATGCAAACAGGAATATGAAAAATCAAAAGGAAGTTATTGCATCTTATATTCTTCTTTCTGTATCTATCTTTTAGCACAGTGGTTGTCACAAGTACTCAGTAATTCTTGAAACAAAAATAAATTTAAACAGTTGGAAAAAGGCATAGAAGAAAGAGCATTTTCTCTTATTTCAACTTCTCAGTAAGTTTGGCATGAAAAATAGATCTAGCAGAATAATTTAGTTACATATGCCCTTTTTTAATGCTATGAAAGCTTTCTGATGATATAGAAGTTTAGGAAACATCACCATCTTGAGTTACATCGAACTAACTATGTTTGGGGGATCCCAGGGTACATGTCTTTCAGAAGCAAAATTGTGGTTTGATTTGAAAATACAGTGTTTATGAGACAAAGCCCAAATGTTGGGAGAATTGAACTTAAAACAAAAATTTTATTCTACACATTTGATTCCATAATGATTCTTGTGAAAAGAAAGCTGAACTTTGGCATGATTAGATCCAAATGACCTTATTAGAAAAAATGTTGTATGGATGTTTAATAACATAACTTCCTGGATAATAAAGGGGTGTTAGAGTTTTAAAGTGCTCAGTAATTAGTCTATAATGCAATCAGTTAGAAATTGCATCTCAATGTTGCCAATTTCCATATAAACAAAATTCCACTATGTATATTTTTAAAAAGAACAACAAAAACCTTTGCTTGGGAATAGGCAGAGGATAACCATTTTCTTCTTCAAGGATGTGAAAACTTTTAAACACTTTTTATTTAAATGCAGAGATAAAAATTGTTTGGTTAAGGAGAAGGTCCATCTGTCAGATGAACAAGGTGACCTCCTGCCATTAAAAAGTACTAAGGCTAAAGCTGTTATATACCAGATAATTTTGTACAAGCCATGAAAGATACAAGGCTTTCATTTTACCCTACGTCATCAAAACAAGGATTTAATTGTCTACAGTGTAGTTCAATTGATTCCAATAAAAAGTATCATTGATTATAATCTCTACGGAACTGGAAGGGCAACCATTTTTTATTTTATTGGCAGGCAAAATTGCGTTTTCTTCATCTCAGGTCACTTACCACCCAAATTAGCAATTGTTAATAGAACCAGATCATTAGTTTTTGCTGTACTGATTTCCGTGTCACTGCCTGAGTGCACATTTCAATGGATAGAGGATATTCCAGGATGGCCTCTTGTACATGAGCAAGAAGTCTGGTGAGTTTTGATAAATGGCTCCATTTAGAGCATGAAGAATGACCTAACTGAAAATGCTGACCACTGAATTGGGAAGGCTAATGACCAAGAATAAAAAGTCTAGTTCATATCTATCAAATAAATAGAAGAAAAACTAAATTATTCAAGATAAGGCAAATAATAATAATGTTAATAATAAAATAGTAATCATAATCACACAACAAAGAGTTACCAATTGAGAACCTACTCTGTTCCCAGCCATATGTTAAATGATTTGCAAACATGAGTTTGATTAACCCTCACAATAACATAATAAAGGAAATGTTATAATTTCAAATTTAATGATGAAGAAACTGAGGCTTTGAGGCAATAATACAATTAAAAGTATTACATGTGGAGAGCACAAAGCCCAAACTCCTTCTGATTGCTCAAGATGCCAAATTGCTGTTGACTAGTAATGCATAGAAATGTTTTCTTCTCTGTTACTATGTATGCATGTGTTTTGTTTGTTTGCTGTTATTGTTCATGGAAGTAATTCTATTCATTGCCAATATCTCTTGCTTAGATTGTAAGGTAATTTAAAAATTAATAAGGTTATAGTAGAGAATGAATTTTGTTTTAAAGAGAATGGCTGAATAAATGAACAAATGTATAACCTATGGTTTTCAGCAAGAATATAAACATTGGTTGACATTACCAAGATCTCATATAAATCAGGTAGAATCTCACCACCGCCCCCCCCCCCCCCACCAAATATTACATCTTCGGATTTTTTTTCTCTCTTATTACTTCCTGGGTATCCATATATTGTGTTGTTACCTTAAATATACTTTGACTTTTCAGGAAAACATGAAAGTTTAAAGTGTACTTCAAACCTATGTTGTTCAGGGGTCAACTGTACTTTGTTATTAGCTTTTGAAACTCAAAGCCTTAAGGTAAATGGCTGCAAATACACTTTCAAGTAGACCAATTTACTTCTAGATCATTTTGTAGAGGTGTAACCATCATGGTGGAGGGATAAATGCTTCTGCGTGGAAAGGGAAATGGAAAGAATGGAACAAATAATACAGAAAAATCACTCAGTCTTATTATATAAGCAGTTTTTTTAAAAAATTCATAATATACCTGGCCATAGATAGTGCTCCAGCAAAGGTATAATCTCTTCCAAGTACAGAACATAAAATTAAAACACACATACACACATATACTACAAAACAGAATATATATATTATATACTTAATTAAAAATTAAAAACATATGCTTAATTTGACAAAATATTTAACACTGTGTTCCTTCAAAGCATTGATTATATGTCTATTTTATTTTATTAACTTGCCTCAGGCAAATTCATTATCTCTTGACACCGCCTCTCTCTCTCTCTGCCTCACTATCTTATGTCCTAGCAAATATTCTACAAAAGGAGCTTTTCTGCCCAAGGCCTTGTGTTCATTTTTTGATAACACTCTCTCTGCTTCCATCTTCATTCATAGCCAAATAGACATCAAACTGCAGTGCAGGAACAGGCACTAGGGCCCCATGGGCCATCAAAGTGGGTGGCTGAGTGTGAGTAGATCAAAGATGTCATCTCAGATGAATGAATGTAGCATAGGAGGTACAATAACCAGAGAAAAGGTGTACTGAATACCACCAGAGGCATGAAAATGAAAAGATCCTTTAGGTGGCTACAGAAAACAATTTGTGCACAAATAGTGTGTGTAATGGAACAGAAACCTTATCAGGAGGAACCATTACAGTTAAGAGGATATCTGCTAGGAGGTATTTTTTGTTGACCCCCCACAGTAGTGAACCAGATGTCCCTGAGGTACACAAGCCTTTGTTCCTATTTTTCAGAAATATGTTGGATGTGGTAGCTGTGGAGTAGTGTCCATTCATTGCTTTAGTAAGTGTTTACTGAATATTTAATGTGGATTCAGTAAAATATGTAAAATGTGGTCTTTGACTTCAAGGAAACCCTGAGGGTAATTGAAAAACGAAGGCATGCACACACCAAAATAAAACATTCATTTAAGACCATGTGTCATGAAGTTTTCAATTGTTGGCTTTGGAAATGGACCTCAGAGGTTCTCCAGTCCAGTGGTTTTCCTCCTATATTCTCAAGATCTGGAGTTCCATAGAAGTAGTTCAAGGATTAAACAGTGCTCACAAGGGAAAGGCCAAGCTCATCGAAATGCACTCATCCTTCCATGTAACAGAGAAGTTGAGTTGACATTAGTCTCAAAGCATTTTCTTTTCTTTCTTTTTTTTTTTTTTTTTTTTTTTTTTTTTTTTGAGACGGAGTCTCGCTCTGTCGCCCAGGCTGGAGCGCAGTAGCGCGATCTCGGCTCACTGCAAGCTCCACCTCCCGGGTTCACACCATGCTCCTGCCTCAGCCTCCCGAGTAGCTGGGACTACAGGAGCCTGCCTCCACGCCCGGCTAATTTTTTGTATGTTTAGTAGAGACAAGGTTTCACCGTGTTAGCCAGGATGATCTCTATCTCCTGACCTCGTGATCCGCCCGCCTCGGCCTCCCAAAGTGCTGGGATTACAGGCGTGAGCCACTGCGCCCGGCCGCCTCAAAGCATTTTCTAATCACTCTTGGAGGCTAGGATCTAAATCTCTCAGTTATCTACAAATAGTATACCATGTAAAGGATTGTATGCTGAAGATGTTTAATTTTAGAATGAACAATAAGGACTGAATTTGCCTTTCTATTTTTCTATCATGAAAAACATAAAATAAAGTTATTCCAGGGTATAATATTTCAGTATTAGCATAAGTAATATATAGCCTAAGTAATGTTTTATTAGGAAAGTAAACTTGTCATATAAAAGTCATATGATTAACTTAAAAGCTGCAAACAAATGATTTCTGGATGGTGTATTTTTTTCATAGTTTATTTCCATTAGCAAGAATTATTAAAAATTAGCCTTTTTTCATTTTCATTGCATGTTCAAAATTACTCCTTATAAGGCTAATTGATTTGAAGTGGATATACAGGCAGAATGACTAAACAGAATTGTATGTCCTAAAACCATCTTTATGTGAAGTTTATTAACTTATTTATTTAAAGAGATAGTTGAGAAAATAATTTAATATAGTGGTTTGACTCACAGTTAATAAAACAAGTTGCTTAATTCTAATTATTCTTAACTTTTTAGTTACCTTTTATAACTATATACATGAAGATATATAAGAATTGTAGATATGTGATTATATAGGAATTATATAGTCCTTCAAATATATGGTAATATATATAGGGTTACAGTGGTATCGCTCTTTCAATACTTTACAAGGTTAAACTTACATGTTTAAAGTACTTAGCACAGTTTCAAAGATTTACTTAGTAAACACTGAAGAGATGATAGCAGTTAACATAAGCACCACTTACCTGGAAGACACTGTGCTGGGCGATGTAGATAAACTAAAAACTCTCAGAATAATGGAAGAAGATATGTATATTAAATGATTACTCAAGAAATATAAGCATAGGAAAAGTGAGTACTCATAAACTTACTTCTGCATAATGGTGGTGGGAACCATAAGGAAAAATTTACTTTGATGAAAAGAATCAATATGTTTGCCCAGAATAATGGTTCAATGAAGCATTACAATTGCCTGGAAGAAATACCATAGATAGAAAGATGACCCCTTACAATAGTAAAAAATTCAGGCTTTTTATCCATCCCTATGTTAAATTTTTGGAAAGAAGAAAAAAAGAGAGAGAATGATATAATAAGTAAATACTTATTTTTGTATTTTCTAGTATTTTTCAAATGATTAAATGAAAATGTGATGTTGTAGACCAGGTACCATGAGAACAAGGTAAATAGGTAGGATGCTGTGTTCTGGAAACCTCAATTTATATAGCTCTGGAGAGTGTTTTCTGATTGAGGTTTCCTGTGTGTTCTCTGATTCTCCCTAGAACTTCGATATAGGTCAATTGAAGACGGTGGGGGGACTCTCAGAGTCCCGATGCTGAAAAACATGAGAACCTATTCCTAATATGACTCAGTTTTCTTATGCTAAGTCAGATATAGACTCCTTTTTATTTTCTCATGGGTTGCCTTGGACTTTTTCAATTGTTAGGTATGTCCACATGGAATAATCTTCGAAACTAAGAATTACACACATCTGAATTGCTTTTCATAGCCGCACACAATTGAGTTTAATTTACCATGAGTTTTTTTTTTGTATGTACAGCATGACCCTTGTTATGTTACAAATTTTCAAAATGAATAGAAGAAACTGGACAGGAAATACACAATGAGTTCACAGTGGATACCTGTGGACCTGAGGATGATGGTGATTTTTGTTTTCCTCTATTAACTTTTTCTTTTACATTTTTAAGTTTACAACAATGCAAATATGTATTTGTAAATATCAAAACAACTTAATTTTCTAAAAAGTGGACTAGATGCTGTAGTTATTGGCAGAGCCAAAATCAGAGTGAGGAAGGACATGGTGACCGTGAGCCCTGAATATAAGCTGCCCAATAGCATTGCCAGAGCTGCACGTCAACCTAGGGTTTAAAATATGCACCATGAGCTTTTCAAAAGCAATCACTCTGTCTTGTTCCTAGGTTTACTTCTATTGTTTAGTGGAATGCTTGACAAAGGAAGGTATTAATAAATATCTCTGGAATTAAAATTCAGTTGTTTTATTTAACAAATACTTTTTGAGTGTCTCCATAATGGGCACTGTGAAAGGCGCTAAAGGTAAAAACAGGAAAATAGTACAATTTCTGCTCTCAAGCAGCTTATAACTGAACATGGAGAAAGACATATATATTAATAATATATGTGACACAGAATGGAATAAATGCTTCAATAATGGTAAATTACAGGAAAGAGTAGAAAATACACATCTATTAGTCTATATTAGAAAGTATTTCCCAAAGAAAAATTGAGATATGGCTTAAATAATGGATTAAATTTGGGTGTAAAATGTGAAGAGTATTTATTTATCTTTTATTTTTCTTTTTCTATTGCTAGGTAACTGATTTGCTAACTGATTTGCTTTTTTTTTTTTTTTTTTTTTTTTTTTTGAGACGGAGTCTCCTTCTGTCACCAGACTGGAGTGCAGTGGCAGGATCTCAGCTCACTGGCTCACTGCAACCTCCGCCTTCCGGGTTCAAGCAATTTTCCTGCCTCAGCCTCCCGAGTAGCTGGGGGACAGGAGCACACTGCCATGCCCAGCTATTTTTTTTTTTTTGTATTTTAGTAGAGATGGGGTTTCACCATGTTGCCCAGGCTGGTCTCAAACTCCTAAGCTCAGGCCATCTGCCTGACTCGGACTCCCAAAGTGCTAGGATTACAGGCATGAGCCACCATGCCCAGCCCTGATTTGCATTTTTATAAGTCCAAATACTACTTTATCTTCTGCTTTGTTAATTAAGTTAAAAATATAAGTGAAAATATGAGACTTAGACTAGGTAGATGAGAATTTAAAAGTCTGATTAAGGAATGTCTACTGCCTCAGATATGATTGTACATGAGCATAAAATTCCCTTTGAACTCTAGTTAGCCTCTCTCTTATATAGCATTCTCAAGTTGAACTCTCACCCATCGTATCTCTATCTCCTTGGCATATTGCTATCCTGTGCTGTGAAAAGATAGGCACTTCAAAAGAAAGCACATTTGTTAAGCATCAGTTGCACCTTAATGGGCCACGGTATTTGAATGATACTCTGCAATGACATTATAAATCTTTTCTTTAGACTGTTGGGGGAATATGCTACACCTCACTGAAAATCTGTGATGTGACTTTGATACTAATAATTCTTTCTTAGAAGAATCAATTGAATAGAGAGATATATTTTGAGAACAAATAATCCAGAATGAAAGCAAAAATAGAATAATGTAATGGGCTCAATATTGGAGTAAACATAATCTGTTGCGGAAAAGATATGACTTAGAGAGATGGAAAGAGGGAAGGGGAGAAAGAATGAGCATTAATATGAACACATGAATCACAAATGCTGTGTTATTTTTCTGTCTTCTTTATTAGATGCTCACATCATTCCATCTTCAATCAAGTGAATAGCAGGTGGCATTTTTATGTGGCTGAAAGAGAAGACTAAATCAGCCAAGTGAGTAATAGCTAGCTGTAAGCCTGGCCAGTTTTACTCAGCTATGAAAAAACTGTGACTGCATAACTGGGTTTAAATATGATGCACTCACCCCATTTTTCTCTCAGTTGTACTATACAAGGTACCAATGTTAGCAAGTGCACCAGGACTGGCAGAAGAGATGATTCAAAAAGGGACAGTGTAAGACTGTAAATTTAAGGGTACATAAAAGAAGCACTAACATTCTTCTATCACCTGATGCTTGTTTATGGTGGTACACACTCTTGAAATGCATACGTGACATTAGGCATTTAAAAGGAAAGTGTTATGAAAATAGAAATTGAATAACTAAAATTTCTAATGAGATATTAGTGATTAGTAGAAAATGTTTTATAAAATAAGTAATTGCTTATAGGATGCAGAAAGGGAAGATAAAAGAGCTTGGAATGTCTGAAGGAGGGAAAAGTACTTGATTTTTTTTTCTTTTGATTTGTATTCATTTATTCAACACATTAATTTAGCATCTACTGATTACCAGGCACTAAACCAGGCACTGGAGATTCAGCAGCGAACAACAGATTCAAAATTCTGTACTCAAAGAAATTTACATTCTGGTGAAGTCTTTGGGGAGAGGAAAGAAAGAGGATTCAAGAAGATATTTTAAAAAGTAATTAAAATATAAAACATGTTAGATGAGTCAAAGCACTATGGAGAAAAACAGTGGAGGGAAAGGAAAGGTAATAATGGAGAGAGGCCTGAAATTTAAATTACGGTGTTTGGGGTAGCTTCACTGAAAAGGGGACATTTGAGCAAAAACCAAGAGTAGGCAAGAGAATGAGCCATGTGGACATCTATGAAAATCGCATTTTAGGCATAGGGAGAAACATATGCAAAGCCCTGAGGCAAAAATGGGCTTGATGTATTTGAGGAGCAGTAGGGACGGTGTGGCTGGAGCAGTGAACAGTAGGGAGGGGAGTAAGAAATGAGATCAGAGAACCAAGGGGAAGGGATACACTTCCTAGGACTGTGTGGGCTGCTGTAAGGAATTTGCTTTTATTTTGCATGACACACGAAGGTATACTTCTGTGTTGAAGACGGATTGTAGGGGACAAGAACAGGAGCAGGGAGAAAAGTCAGGAAGTTGTTGATTAATCCAGATGAGAGACAATGGTAGAAGTGGAGACCTGTGGTCAGATCCTGGATGTGTTTGGAACAGGGATGTGGATGAATTAGATATGGCATATAAGAGAAAAATTATACTTTTAAAAAACAACTATTGGAATGATGGTGTTGCCATTTACCTAGAAAGGGAAAAATATAGTAGAAGAAAGTTTTGATAGGGAGATCAAGACTACAATTTTGAACGTGTGAGTTTGAGAAGCCTACTGGACCCACAAATGGGACATCAACATTATTTTTACTTGTACATTTTTATATATAAATGTGGAGATCAGAAAGAACTCTGACCTGAATGTTATCATCAGATGCTATTCAAAACTGTAATATTGGGTAAGATTGACAAGCGAATAAGTATAGAAAGAGAAGAGAAATCATACAAGTGCTGAGACCTGAAGCATCTTATATTAAAAGTTGAGGAAAGTGAGAAAGAACAAGCAAGAGTCTGATTGGAAGGAGCCAGTAAGGTAGGAAAATAATCAGGAGAGTGTAGAATTAGGAAGCTGAGAGGAGAGAGTTTTGTCTTATTTTCTCTCCCATGGAAAGGAATAATCAGTGGTGTACAATGCCACTAATAAGTCAAATGAAATGAAGATAGATTTAACCATTGGAATAAGCAGATCATAAATTATTTTCTACCTTGAATAAGAGTTACAGTGGAGTAGTAGAAGGAAAATGAGTGGGTTGGAGAAAAAACAAGAGGTGCTAAGTTGGAAGAAAATAAGTATAAATAAATCTTTCAAAGGATTTTGTCGTATGAAGTCACAAAAATATAGAGTTAGCTGGAGGAGAAATGGAATCGAAAGAGAGGATTTTTTTTTTTCAATGAGGTGAGAGAAGCAGAAATTACAATGTGCTGTGTGAAGATGGAACTGATGAAGTAGGAGAATGAGGAAAAAGTGTGTGGGCAGTGTCCTTAAATAGGGGAGAAGAAATGGGATGGAACTGAAAAGTGAAAGTAGTGGTCTTACTTGGTGTCTGGATCATTTACAAAAGCATGGGGCAAGCTGGTGGGAAGGCAGATTATGTGGGCACGAGTGTAAAGAAGGTTAGGTAGATGTGGTGTTAAGACTGGGTAGAAGTGAAATTGAAAATAAAATCAGTAGAGTGACTATGAGGAGAAGATTTTGGAGATATATGAAGAAAGAGTATGAAATATGGTAATTGGGAGAGTAGCTTAGAGAAATGTAGCACAATTGCTTGACAGCAATATAATGCAGGCATGTGTCACTTAACAGTGGGGATAAGTTCTGAGAAATTTGTCAATAGGCAATTTCATCATTGCACAATCATCATAGAGTGGACTTACACAAACTTAGATGATATAGCCTCTCACACACCTAGGCTATGTGGCTTAGCCTATTGTTTCTAGGCTACAAACCTGTACAGCGTGCTACTGCGATGAATACTGTAGGCAATTGTAAGACAGTGATATTTGTATTTGTAAGTATAGAAAATTACAGTAAAAACAATATAGGATAAAAGGTTAACAAAGGTACAGCAAAAACCAATATGGTATAAAAGATAAAAAGTGATATACCTTTATAGGGCACTTAACATAAATGGAGCTTGCATGACTGGAAGTTGCTCTGGGTGAGTCAGTGAGTGAATGAATGTGAAGGCTGAGGACATTACTGTACGCTACTGTAGACTTCATAAATGCTGTAAACTTAAGCTGAATTCAATTTATAAAACAAATTCTTTTATCAGTAATAAATTTAACTTACTGTAGTTTTTTCATTTTATAAACTTTTTAATTTTTTAAAACTTTTTTACTCTTTTGTAATAACAGTTTAAAACACAAATACATTGTGGGAGGTGGAACAAAATGGCCAAGTAGATGCCTCTAGCTACTTTCCTCCTGGCAGAAACACCAAATTGAACAACTTTCTACACAAAAAGTCACCTTCATAAGAACCAAAAATCAAATGAATTATCACAGTACCTGCTTTTAACATCATATCAAGGCAAGAGGCACTGAAGAGAGTAGGAAAGAAGGTCTTGAATCACCTACACTACTCCTCCCTCATCCCTCAGCAGAAACCTGAGTTTCGACAAGACCTTCCATGGCGGGCCAAAGTGTTCTGGGGTTCAAAATAAACTTGACAGGCAGTCTAGGCCACAAGGACTACAATTCCTGGGGAAGTCCTGGTGCTGTGCTAGTCTCAGAACCAGTGGACTTGTGGTACGTACAATCTAGTGGGACACCAGGTGAGGCATCCAAGGGAGTGCTTGCATTACCCCTCCCTCAACCACAGCCCTGGGAGACTACTTCTCTTTGCTTGAGGAGAGAAGATTAAAGAGAATTTTGTCTTGCAACTTGGAGACCAGCTCAGCCACAATAGAATAGGGCACCAGGCAGAGCCCGGAGGCCCCCTTTCTATGCCTTAGCTCCTCCATGAGATTTCTAAGCATACGCTGGGCCAGAATGGAACCCACTTTCTTCAAGGGAAGAATGCAGTCCTGACAGGATTTATCACCTACTGAATAAAGAGCCCTTGGGCTCTGAAAAATCAGCATTGGTAGCCAGGCAGTACTTGTTGTGAGCACTGGGTGAAATTCAGAGGCCTTCTGGCTTCAAGTGTGACTCAGCACATTCTCAGCTATAGTGGCTATGGGGATAAACCCCTTCTGCCTGAGGAAAGGAGAGGAAAGAGTAAAGGGAACTTAGTTTTGTGGCTTGGGCACTAACTCGGCCACAGTGGGGTAGAGCACCAAGCAGGCTCCTAGGGTCACTGATTCTAGGCCTTAGCTCCTAGACAGCATTGCTAGACCTTCCCTGGGCCAGGGGAGTGCCCACTGACCTGAAGGGAGAGACTAAGGACTGGCAGTATCCACCACAAGATCACTGAAGAGCCCTTAGGCCTTGGGTGAACACAGGCAGTAGACAGGCAATGGTCACTGTGGGCTTTAGGTGAAACCCAGTGCTGTACTTGCTTCAGGTCGGACCCAGCACAGTCCCAGTGGCTGTGGCCAAGGGCATGCTTGCATCACCCATCCCCAATACCAGGCAGCTAAGCACAGACAGAGAGAGTCTCTTTCTTTGGAGGAATGTGAGGAAAGGAGAACAAAGGTCCACCTGGTAATCCAGGGAGTTCTTTCAGAGCTTACTAAGACCACCAAGGTGGTACGTCTATGAGTCTGCTAGAGCTGGCAAATTACTGGGCTTGGGATGCCCCCTAAAGCAAATGAAGCTGGAGTGTTCAAAGACTTACATCACAATACCCAAGTTTCTTCAAATATCTAGAGAGCCATCCTAAAAAAAGGATAGGTACAAACAAGCCCAGAGTATGAAGACTAACATAAATACCTCACTCTTTGTGTAAGGCTGTTCTTCCGTTGCTATAAAGAAATACCCGAGACTGGGTAATTATTTTTTCAAAAAGAGGTTTAGTTGGCTCATGATTCTTCAGGCTGTACAGGAAACATGATGCCAGCATCTGCTTGGCTTCTGGAGAGACGTCAAGAAACTTCCAATCATGGTGTAAGGCAAAAGGGGAGCAGACACATCACATGGCCAGAGAAGGAGCAAAGTAGGGAGAGGTTCTACATACTTTTAAACAACCAGATTTCATAAGAACTCACTCACTATCTTGAGGAAGGCACCAACAGGATGGCACTAAACCATTCCTGAGAAATCTCTACTATGATTCAATCACCTCCCACCAGGCCCCACCTCCAACACTGGGGATCACAATTTTACATGAGATTTGGGCAGGGACACAGATCCAATTCACATTATTCTGCCCCTGGCCCCTTCTCATGTCCACAGATCCAAACCACATTACTCTGCCCTGGCCCCAAATCTCATGTCCTTCTCACATTTCAAAATGCAATCATGCCTTCCCAACAGTCCCCCCAGAGTCTTAACTCATTCTAGCATTATCTCAAAAGTCCAAAGTCCAAAATCTCATGTGAAACAAGGCTAGTCCCTTCTGCCTGTGAGCCTGTAAAATCAAAAACAACCTAGTTATTTCCAAGATACAATGGAGGTATAAGCATTGGGTAAATACTCCTGTTCCAAAAGGGATAAATTGGCCGAAAGGAAGGAGCTACAGGTCCCATGCAAGTTAGAAACACAGAAGTTCAGTCGTTAAATCTTAAAGCTCCAAAATAATCTCCTTTGACTCCATGTCCCACATACAGGACACATTGGTGTGAGTCACCCCAATTAAAATGGCTTTTGTCCAAAGACAGACAATAGCAAATTATGGTGAGGATGCAAAGAAAAGAGAACACCTGTACACTGTTGGTAGGAATGCAAATTTGTACAACCACTATATAGAACAATTTGGAGATTCTTCAAAATACTAAAAATAGAACTACCATATGATCCAGCAATCCAGCTGCTAGGTATATGCTCGCCCAAAAGGAAATCAGTTTATTGAAGAGATGTCTGCATTTCCATGTTTATTGTAGCACTATTTGCAATAATCAATATTTGTAAGCAATCTAAATATCTACCAACAAACAAATGCATAAAGAAAATGGTATACATACACATAATGGAGCCATAATAAGAATGAGATCCTGTCATTTGCAACATGTATGTTAAGTGAAGTAATCCAAGCACAGAAAGAAAAACTTCACATGTTCTCACTCATTTGAGGCAGCTACAAATATTGAAACAATTGAACTAATGGAGATAGGGAGGAGAATGATAGTTCCCAGAGGCTGGGAGAGGTAGTGGGGTAGGAAGAAGTGGGGATAATTAACAGGTACAAAAATATAATTAGATAGACTGAATAAGATCTAGTATTTCATAACACAACAGTGTCACTGCAGTCAACAGTAATTTATTGTACAGTTTAAAATAACTAAAAGAGTATAGTTGGATTATTTGTAACACAAAGAAAGGATAAATTATTGAGGTGATGGATACTTTATTTACTCTGATGTGATTATTATGTATTATATGCCTGTATCAAAATATATCTTGTACTCCATAAATATAGATACCTATATGTCTACAAAAATTAAAACACAAAACACGTTGTATAGCTACAAAAATAATTTCTTTATATTTTTATTCTACATAATTTTTCTATGTTTAAAATTTATTATTATTTTACTTTTTAAACTCTGGTACAAACTAGGACCCAAGCCCACACATTAGCGTAGGTCTACACAAAGTTGGAATTATCAGTATTGTTGTCTTCCACCTCCACATCTTGTTCCATGGAAAGGTATTGAAGGACAATAATATGCATGAAGCTGTCATCTCCTATGATCACAATGCGTTCTTCTGCAACACATCCTGAAGGACCTGCCTGAGGCTGTTTTACAGTTAGCTTTTTTTCACCCATAAGTAGAATAAGTGCCCTTTAAAATAATCATTAAAAAGTATAATATAATATAGTAAATACATGAGCTGTTAACATAGTTGTTTATTATTGTTATCAAGTATTAAATACTGTACATAGTTGTATGTGCTGTACTTTTATGTGACTGGCAGTGCAGTAGGTTTGTTTACAGTAGTACCACCACAAACATGTGAATAATGCATTGTGCTGTGATGTTATGATGGCTACAACAGATGTCATTAGGCAATAGGAATTTTTTGACTCCATTACAATCTTATGTGATCACTGTTATATATCCAGTTTATCGTTGACTGAAAGGTTGTTATGTGGCACATGACTGTAGTGGTCTTCAGAATAAGATCAGGATCATGAATGTAAAGAGATATTTGTGTGTGGTTGTGTTTTCTACCAACTATGTTCAGCTGAGGAGGTACAGTTGTGTAGTGTGGATCAATGGATGTATCTGCAGTATGGATTTTTCTCAAGCAACTAAGGAGTAAAAGAAAAATGAAGAAGTTCATGGTATATATAAGGAAGTAATTTTAATGATGAGCAATGAAATTTAAGGGGATTAAAGTGAGAAGTGAATGTAGAATGAGGTTTAGGGACAGAAAAAAGATATTGGGATCAATGGATAGCAGATTCTAGAACGCTGTTATAAGAGAAAGTGCCAGTCAATCAGGATCTAGAAGCTTATAGGCACAAGGAGGTGAGAACCAGGGGCTTATAGATGTCAACTGAAGAAAGATGAGGTTCATAGATTTGGAAAGGTGAGCTTTATTTCTCATAAAAGCTTATAGCCTGCAGGGTGGCCATTCTGACAGGCTGGAAAGTGTAGCCTCTGTGCAGAAGCCAGAGACAAACACTTGGAGGAATTTATGCTGAGCTGGGTGGCTGAACATATATATTCAGTAAACTATAGGAGGAATCATGAATATTTATTAAAGGTGAAATGTGCACGTGCACAATTGGGCTTTATGCTCCTTCATGGGCCTCAGGTACAAAAAAAAAAAAAAATACATGACAGCATTAGCATGATCCATGGGTGCAGTTTTCAGCCTTCTAACATCAAACAGTGAAGTAGAGGACATGAAAACCCTTATTGCACATTGTCCATAATCTGGCCAGAACCACTCCATGGTTGGTGGTCTCTTATCAGGGAAAAAAGGAGGTGCAGTTTCAGAAAGTTGGTTGATATTGGTTGTGGAGTCTTTTGAAAGGACTGCTTTCTGTTTAGGAAGAAAGACTAGTAGTGGTTAGCAAGGAAGGGACTGTAAGAGGGCATGTCTGACCTCCTAACCTCTTTCAGGGCTGACCAAGCTTATTCCATGGTCCCCATGGCCAAGAGATGACCCATTCAGCCAGTTGGAGGGCTTAGAATTTTCACTTTTATTTCTCATAGATAAGTATGGTAAAAAGAAGTAAAGCGTGTTATGGCCTTATGGAATAAGATTCAAAGTTTGTGGGATTTTAAGAAGGTTTATTTGAAACTGACAATGAAGATCACGGGACACATCTGTCTCCCATGTAGAGCAGAGGAGTATAGACTTTCCCCACTTGAAAAGACTGACAAGGAAAAAAAGTGCTCTAAGAAAAACTGGTTTCCATAAAAGCAAGAAAACATAGGAAATATTCAGAGTAGAGGTTAAAGATATACAGGATTTTTTTTCTGATGAATGATAATGGGTTTCACTGGATATAGTGAGGGGATTTTTGGAAGTAGAGAGTGGTGGGATATAGGCTTTAAAAAAAAGGTACTATAATAACCTATGATAGGATTAGAATGTGGTCATAAGGCCTGCTTTGGGAGATAAAGGGTTTTTGTTGTCTTTTGGTTTTAAAATGACTCATGAGAATAAGGACAAAGGCGTGGTATAATTGTTGTTAATCATCTCAAAGCAATGGTATGAATGCCAGGCCAGGGTATTGAAGGGGAGCAGAAAAGAAGATCTCTCCAGGACAACATAGAATTGCAGAGCTCATATTTGACTTCTGCTAAAGCAAGATGTTGTGGTGCGGGTATGGAGTACTGTCTTACTCTGATTTCACATAGTTCCAGGGGTCCCTCTTGAATATTGTTCTGATATAGATTCAGATGCATTTATAACTAGTCCACTACTCAAGCATGTTATTGATAGTTTCCTATCCACTTGTTTGCCTTAATAAATTCTAAATATTAAGACTAGTAGATACATGATATATCTACTAAATATTCAGTGGGACAAAATTGTTGATGTTTTCATATATCTGAAATCTAGGGCACAGTTTTAAAAGAATGGGATCAAAGTTATCAGTTTTCACCAAATGGTGACATGCAAGGACATCTTTGTGTCTGATGTGGCCATTTATGCTAACCCAAGAGAAACCTCTACCAGTAATCTGCTACTGGTTACCATATATGACTCACCAGTCAGAAGAAAGTTATTATTTGGAGATGAAAGACCAATAAGAAGGAGATGCATAGGGCAAAGAAATAGAAAGTAAAAAGAAAGCCACTAAAATAGGGATGAATTCTCAAATTTTAGCTAACAAGAGGCATGTCTCACAGCTTGTATGGCACAGCTGAGACAGAGGGTTTTGAAACACATTAAAGACTTTTTTAACTTTTTAGATCCTTATTCACTTTTGGACTTGGAGAATCCCATGGCTTTAAATGTTCATTTTATCTTTAGAGATTAATCAGTAGGGAGGAATAATGCATGCTGGCAGATCATGTCTGTCTGACATGTACTATCAAAACTTTGAACTTGGTAGTTGGCAGCAAAGTAATGTCATAAAATGCCATCGGGATAAAGAACTCAACTCCCACACTAAATATTGGGGGAGTCTAATGACTATCATTTTTACAGTTATATAGTGAAACTACTTTTTATAATAGATAGTAATTTACAGAAGAGCAAATAAATTCGGTCTTTTTCATTATTGTATTCTTAAAGATTAGCACAGAGTCAAACAGAAGAAAAAAAAGATAGTGAATATGATATATCTATGCAATTCACAATATAAAGGTAGAGCTCCATGGTGCTATTCACATTGACTTCAATATGAATAATGCCCCCTAAAGTTTTACAAATTGGTTCATCTACGCTTTTCTTTGCTGAATGAATTATATATCCTCTAACATTTATTACGTTCTTATTGTGTGCTAGGCATGTGCTAACTACTTTACATATAAGATCCTACTTAGTCCTTATAAGAAAGACAGTGAAGCAAATAACACTTGTATGTTTGCCCAAAATTATGTAGCTGGTAAGTGAGAAGCCAAGACTCGAAGATCAGTGTGTTAGCTGGCTTAGGTATCTACAGATTCCTTTATTACCATTATCAGAGGTATGATATGACACTGATGCATTTGTTCTCAAAGTATTTGTGTTCCAGCTGGGGGACAATTTAAACAAAGAAAGAAAGATACAAGCCAAGGTTCCCAAAGATAGCAGTACAAAAAGGAGGAAGACAGCCCTTTTTGGGATGGAATAATTGAATTAGTAATTTCCAGAGAAAGATAACATGAATTTGGTTCTGGATGATACCTGTGGTTTGGGGAGACAAAAGGGGTTCTAAAAGGTCTCCATGTAGAAGGAACAGCTTAAGCAAAGGTAGAGTGGAGAATAAGAGAGGGCCTTCATCAGATTAGAGAACAGTGTAGAAATTATGTCACAGGACATTTTTCTTAATATTTTGGTGGCTTTTAGGTTATTTTTATTTAGGCAGAGGTAGGAGTCAGCTTCTCCATTTTTCTTGTGGCCTTTGTAACTTTTGAATGGCTATACCACCAGATATTCCCATCTAGTTCTGCTCTCTATCTTAATTGGGAAAATGCAGGATAATCAGTTTTCAAGGGTAATGGGCTTGCAAAAATAAAAATTGTGAAAGCCATAGGTAACTGTTTTTTAAAAATTGGAACGTTAATGGAGAAGGCCAAGCTTTCTTTGAAAATGCCTACGGTGTATCTTGTATCTCTTCTTTCCAGGTCCCAGATAAGACATGGCTATATTTTTCACAGAGCTTCTTTCTGTAAGAGTATCAAAGAGAAAACATTACATATTCTTGGTTTCCTTCTGAGGGACTGATCCACCAGGTGTCTAATTGCATCTGGGGGCTATTTTTTTTGTTCCATATGAATAATTGAACATTTCTGAGGCTTGGAATAAGTATGGGTTCTTATGTCTCTCTTTAAATAGAAAAGTTAAAATAGAAAATATTTAGAAAAATGTTGCTTTCCTTCTTCTCACCCCAGTTCCATTCATTGCAGTTCTTTTCTTAGAGTTTTACATTTTCCTTTCAGATGTATAGTGGAGGGTTTTAATTTGAACCCCTGAGTTTCTTTAGTGTTATAATTTAAACTAATAATAGCTAACACCTCCCTTTGAGTTTCTATAGCAGCTATTACAGTGGTACCTACTGTTATTAATATTTAAGAAGGAACCATTAAAATTTGAGGTATGAGACAAATTGAAAATGTTAGCATTAATTGAACACTATTGTTAATGGCACCTTTGCTAATTCACGGTGAAGCCAACTTGTATTGCTTCATTAGAGACAGAAACCTAAAAGTACAGTGGTGGGAATAATTTCAATGGGCAACAGTCTTTCAAGTGCAGCAATGTAACAAATTATATTTCACTCTCAGCTTAAAATCCTGAAAACATTCAGACATCTGAATATTGTATAAATTAAACCCTACAACCTCCAGACATCTGAATATTGTATAAAAATGGCCAGTCTAGTAGTTTAAGAAGCTGAAAGGAAATGCTTAATCTATCAGTCTAGCTACTCCTCTAGTAAGCACATCTTTGAACAAGTACATAGGAAAGGCCTCATATGCATAGATATTCTTTAAAACAATAACATTCAAAATTTTCTGCTTTTTGTAGAAAAATGTGTTATAAGTCTAGTTTGGTATATTTCAAGGTTTTTATAACTTCTTTCTAATACCCTTTGTGTTCATAAAATTTATATGTTTTGTTTCTTCAAGATCAGTTGATACTATTGTTGTTGGCTTGGAAAGACACTCCACGTATATGAAACAAAGGAGTTGGGTTTTACACGTTTATAGGAAAGTGGATAAAGAATATTGGTGGGATTATCAGGGAAAGGCCTATCAAAACCACAATGAGATATCATGTTACCCCAGTTAGAATGGTTATTATCAAAAAGACAAAAAGTATCAAATGCTGGTGAGGATGTAGAGAAAATGGAACTCTTATATAGTAAGTCTTGACTTAATGGTGTCCATTAAGTTCTTGGAAAATATGACTTTAAGCAAAATGATGTATAGTGAAACATTTTTACCATCTGTGGGGAGAATGTGCAAACTCCGCATGGACAATGGCCCGGCCAGGAATCAACTTTTTTTTATCCCATCAATGTTATAATGAAGCGACCTTGAACGACATAACATTATTTAAGGACCTGGTGTACACCATTGGTGGGAATGTAAATTAGTATAGCCATTATGATAAACATGGAGGTTTCTCAAAAAAACAAAAAGTGGAACTACCATATGATCCAGCAATCCCACTACTTGGCATTTATCCAAATGAAGGGAAATTAATGTATTGCAGGGGTATCTCCACCCCCTATACCTACTGAAGCACTATTCACAATAGCCAAGATATGGAATCAACCTAGGTATCTAACAACAGATGAATGGATAAAGAAAATGAGATATATATACACCATGGAATAGTATTCAGCCATAAAAAGATGAAATCCTGTAATCTGTGGAAACATGGATACGCCCTGAGCACATTATGTTAAATGAAATAAGTTAGGAACAGAAAATAAATACTGCAGGTTCTCACTCATACGTGGAAGCTAAAAATTTAATTCAGCTCATAGAAGTAGGAAACAGGGCTGGGCACGATGGCTCACGTCTGTAGTCCCAGCACTTTGGGAGGCTGAGGCGGGCACATCATTTGAGGTCAGGAGTTTGAGACCAGCCTGGTCAGCATGGTGAAACCCTCTCTCTACTAAAAATACAAAATTAGCAGGGCGTGGTGGCGCATGCTTGTAGTCCCAGCTACCTGGGAGGCTAAGGCAAGAGAATGGCTTGAACCCTGGAGGCAGAGGTTGCAGTGAGCCGAGATCGTGCCATTGCACTCCAGCCTGGGTGACAGGGCAAGACTCCATCTAAAAAAAAAAAAAAATGTAGGGAGCAGAATTGTGGTTGTTAAAGATTGGGAAGAGGAAAGGGGAAGGAAGGATGGAGAGAGGTTGGTTAATGAATACAAAATTACAGCTAGATAGAAGAAATAAATTCTAGTATTTTACAGCACTGTAGGGTGAATATAGTTAACAATAATTTGTTGTATATGTTCAAAAACTTAGAAGACTGCATCTTGAATGTTTCCAACACAAAGAAATGATAAATGTTTGAGGTAATGAATATGCTAATTACCCTGATTTGATCATTATACATTGTATACATGTATTGAAATATCATTCTGCATCCCATAAATATATACAATCATTTTGTGTCAACTAAAAATAAAATAAAAAAACTCTGACAATAAACAAACAAAAAATAATATTTGTAGGAAAAATGACAGAAAAGAGATCCAGAATTCATTGGGTGGTTATTCTGGTGACCTTGGAATTTCTACAGTCTTCCTGTGAGCACATTTGAGTGTCAGAAAAATTTTACTTTAGACTCCAGCCATCTGCCCATTTCTCCCTTTTTATATTGGCCTCTAGTTTTGTCCTCTTTCTGGAGACACAAAGCTGAATTTCTCCAAGTCTATTGGACATCTCCAAATTACCTCTATACTTAACATGCTCTACACAGAAATCCAACTTTTCCCCAAATCCCTGCTTCCTTCTTTTGCCCTTAACCTTGTTAATCACCATTCTCTCAGCTGATTAGTGTTGAGTATCCTCCTTACTCAATTAAATTCATATCATGAATAGTCTCTGAATTCTTACTCAGACTATTGGATTGGAACACTAATCATGATGTGAAGATGAATTTAATAAAAAAGATTTTATTTCAAAAATTAAATGCATTTTATGACAGAACAAAAGAGTGATTATTAAAATTACACAGCACAGCACTTTAAGAATAAATTTTCAACATTGTAGGGAACACTGAAGAACATCCAGAGAGAAAAAGCAAATGGGTACCAAAAGTTAACCCCAAATTAATTATTTTTGAAAATAACTAAAACTCATAAAAAAGAATTGGATAGCATATGTCTTTAACCATTATGTCAAAGACAGGGGTGTGGTATCTGTATGGGCCACATTTAAAAGTGGAAGAAATGAAGATGATTAAACTTTAAATTTTTTTTGAGAAAGATTTGTTCTAAGCAACAGAACTTTATATAAAGAATAAGATAAAGTTCTTTGTTTCTAGAAAATGTTAGGGAGTGTCTCCTTTCTGCATTAAATTGGCACTGCGCATGGATTAAAGGCATTAAATTTGGATGCAAACAGGTGTCCCTTTGGATGCAACTTTGTCCTTTACTAACTCTATGACCTTAGATAATTTACTAACCCTCTCTAAGCCTCATTATCTTCATCAGCAAACTAGCAATTATAGTAACACCCACCTTATCAGATTTTTCTGAGGATTACATTAGATAACGTGTATAAAATGTTGAACATAGTAAATGATTAAGAGTAAATACAAAATAAACGTCATCTAGTTTTATTAAATCTAAATTTGGTAAAAATGTATAATGATAATGTAATACTTGTTGAATACTTTATTGCAGGTATCAATTTAAAACATAAACACATTTCATGATTTTTCTCTAACTTATATTACTTAATGTCTAGAATTTATTCTGTGAGTGGTAAAACCAACCAAAGCTAAAACCAAAACCAAAAAACAACTCCAGTAATACAGGATCATTCTCTATGTTCTTAGAGGTACATTTACATTCTGGGGAGATTTATATATGTCATGGTATCTGCCTAGAGGATGGATGCTTGGTCACCCACTCTACCCAACCCCACCTTTTAAATGTATGGGCTCACAATAAAAGCAGCATTTTTTTTTTTTTTTTTTTTGCCTAGATACCTTCGCAATACTGCACATGGGTAATTTTACTTCTTTTGTTCCATACCAGGAAGTGGGGAAACTGCCCAGATGGATCATACAACCATGTCTATGATCTTCCTGTTTCTCTGGGATTCTGATATGAGGTACGTTTCTCCGCTTTTCTGTTTTCTAGAAAATTAGAATTTTCTATAAAATTTCTATGGAAACCATATTTTCCATTAAGTTAGGAGCCTCAGTCATCCTTTGCCCCACTGAAGCTTTGCAGGAGGGAGCCCCAGTCGTAGGTGCGCCTCAGACTCCTTCCTCAGCCATAGTCACTTCAATGATCTCTTTACTCCCTTCTAGCTCTCCCCCGCCCCTCAGCAAGAAAATATTTTCTGGTATTTCACAGTGGTCCTTGCTTTTTTCCATCTATTTTTCTATATTATTTTACTTGAAAGCCAGAAATTTTGACATATTTTTATTTTCTTTGTTCTGTTTCCTTGTATCAGTAGGCATGCAATTCTATGGTGAACTGAAGAGCAAGGGATAAAATAACCAAGAGTGATGCATAAATAATAAAAAAAATAGGCATTTTCATGGTATAATAAATTTGCCTTTTTTACCTATAGAGTTCAGAGAAATTTTTAGGCAAATATTATTAGCCATTGCTAATATTTTGAACTCAGTTTTTAAGTATCATGATGGAGTTTACCCATGTTAGGGGAGTTAATCTATTAATTATCAGTGGGACTCTAATTGAGTCCTTTATTTAATTTTTCATCACATCCTTGTTATGTTAGGAGATGGTTCAGAGTGGAACCTTAAAAAACAGTTGGAATTCTTCAAAATTAGTCCTCTACAAAAGGTTAAAATTATTTGACTTTTGGATGATAAAGCAAACAGTTTTTGGAACAATCAGCTATTGATTTGCTTTTCTAGAGTATTTTGAATGAGAGATACTGGGAAGAAACAAAAGTATTCACTAAAATGTGCCTGCCATGAGGTATCTAGGTTAAACATAAGAGGCATTTTGGTTTATAGATGGGAGATATTGGAAAGTCTCATGGACATTTTACTTTTCAGGGACTCTCCATGACAAATAAACATTACAAAATATCATTGATCAGCAACTCTTAGTCCTGCATAATTTGTTCTTTATCCTCTAGCATTTCAACATAGTACTCATACAATTACTCCCAGATTATAAAAGCATAAAAGCTCAGGATTCTTTTTATATAGTTCAGGAATCACAGTCTTTAATATTTGTTTGTTCTTGTCTGTGGGTCAGGTCTTAGAATGAATGCATGCTTCCTAAATTGTTGTTGCACTTGGTAATGTATAGATATTGTCTGTCAAAATAGAAATATTTTTCTGTCTGACTCATAAGAACTTTTTTAGAGTTTCGCATGAAACTTTTTCATGGGAAAAAGAATTGGGAAATTATTTTAAAGAGTGCATAGTTAATGACAAAATATAAATAGATTAGCTTGAAATTTAGAGCAGTCTCAGAAGTGCTATAGGACTATTTAAATCTGATTTTTTTTCTGCCTCTCAAACAACATATCTATTGGCTCAAATGAGGTGAAAGAGAAAAAGAGTGAGTAGCAAAGAGGAATAATTTGACACTCCACTAAATAGTGATTTAGCATTGAAGGTAGTGATAGAGACACTAGGAGATACAGCAGACAATACTTTAGGGTTATAGAAGAGAAACAGTGGAAACATCTCCTCCTCCTCTTGTTTGTTTCTGTTCTAGTTCTTAAAAATTATGGTAGTGGAGAAAGTTTCCTCAGAATATGAAGTTGTGATGTATTTTTACAGGTGTACAACTGATTTAATGTGGTTATCATTAAATCATCATTTGATTTCTTCTGATTGATTTCTTCTGATTGATATGACTGTCCTGTACGTTGAATAATTTAAAAACAGCTAATGTTTAGATAATGTTTAAAGAAACATTCTAAGACTCTTTTTGAATCTAATAAAAAGCATGGTAATGCAAAGGAGGCAACATGTTGTAGTCAAAAGGTCGTTTGATTTTGAAGCAAACAGATTTGGATTTAAAGTTGAGTTTTGATAGTTATTGGTGACATGATTTAGGTTGAATATTATCTTACCTATCTTTGAGTCTTTAATTCCTTGTGTATAAACTTAGGACTTGTGTCTTGTTGTGGATAATAAAATGATAACGTGTAAAACATCTGGGAGATTAGTCGGGGCTTAATGGATAGAAATTGAGAAAAAGCGGCCAGGCGCGGTGGCTCACGCCTGTAATCCCAGCACTTTGGGAGGCCGAGGCGGGTGGATCATGAGGTCAGGAGATCGAGACCATCCTGGCTAACAAGGTGAAACCCCGTCTCTACTAAAAATACAAAAAATTAGCCGGGCGCGGTGGCGGGCGCCTGTAGTCCCAGCTACTCGGGAGGCTGAGGCAGGAGAATGGCGTGAACCCCGGGAGGCGGAGCTTGCAGTGAGCCGAGATTGCGCCACTGCAGTCCGCAGTCCGGCCTGGGCGACAGAGCGAGACTCCGTCTCAAAAAAAAAAAAAAAAAAAAAAAAAGAAATTGAGAAAAAGCAGAATGGGGTGAAACTAAGAAGTGTCTTTCCATTTCTGTTAAGTGAATAAATATTTTTACGGTGGGGCTTAGTGCTACTTGATAAATAAAAGGTGAAATTTGATTGAAATATATAAATTTGGAGAAAAGCGTTTTTAAAAATTTTAAATTTTTTTTAGATGTCACGAGTTTAAACATAGTATAATTTTTTAAATGTTTTGGAAAAATTAAAAAACTCAAAATGCTTCTAACAATGCTTCTAATAATGTTTTCAATGTTTTACAGTATGATTTAAGTGTCTCAAAATAGTCCTTTAGTTTATCTGATAAAGAAACTACATACCACAAGCTACAATGATAGGGAAATAATAGAAGAAATCTATCTATCTGTATCTATCTATCTATATCTATCTGTCTGTCTATCTATCTATCTATCTATCTATCTATCTATCTATCTATCTATCTATCTCCTTAGTCATATTTTTGTGAAGGTTCTTAGGAAGCCAGACAGTCGAGTTATGTTGAAATGAAAATAATTGATATTTTAAGCCGTGCTACAAAAAAGCCCATAAATAGCAAAGGATCCCACCTTCCCTTTTTCCCAACAGAAACCCAAATTTACTTTCTTCTTTTACCATTTCTCTCTTACATTTGATGCTGTAACAGCATATACATTTTTGTAATTTCAGCAAAAACCACACTTTCTTTGTTCAGCCATTTCTCCATGCTTTCCTGAGGTTTGTGCTTCTCTTTCCCCATCCCTCTCCCTTTCCTCATTCCTACGCCTCATCTGTTCTCTCTTAGATGCAATAACTCTTACTCATTCTGAAAGACCGTGCCACAATCTGTACCTCCAGAGAAATCTGCCTTATCCTCTAATATTAAGATGACCACATAATTTATCATGCAAACTTGAACTCTTTTGAGAATAAAAAGGAACACAATGCATAATTACACTGGGAAAACAGGTGTAAACTAGGAAAATCCTGGCAAATACAAATACATGTCATCTTGCCTAAAATAGATCAGGTATTTTTAGAGAGAAAAAAGTATTCCTTCCCACTCTAACATCCAAGAGAACTGTAGTAAGTTATTTTGGCCTCTTTCATCTCTCCACTTATTCCACTCCAGGAAGGTGACATATTTTTGCCTGATAATTTTTCTAAGAATGAGCTGGGCATGTGAGGTCCACTTTTCTCTTTCTTCTCTGAGGTCCAGCATGCCAGCTGAGAGTTTGCAATCATCACTGCTCTGGGCCATTTCACAAGTAGAGTATTAAGACCCCCTTCCCTTGGGATGGCTCACAGTTCTTAGGACTGGTTACTTCTGTTTCATCATAGGAGTTGGTGAATCCATTTTGCCCTCCTGTTGAACTATGTACCACAACCCCACAATTTATCAGTATTAGAAGGTTTCACTTCTAGTTATTTGATTCATTGTCATAATTCAAGAGACAAGTAGAAAAGAGCAGTGCTATCTACCCTTCAAGGCTCCAACATTTACTAGCTCTTTGTGTTTTCAAATTACTCTAATAACTCTATTGTTACATTTATTTGATTATTTTTGATGATTTGATAATTATCTGATTATGTATCTGTCTACAGGTTACCAAAAATTCTTATGTACAGGATAAATAAGTGTTGGTTTCTTCATATGTGCCTAGGCTCAATATGTCATGGGTTCATGTCATAAAGAACCAAGAATATATATAAGCTTCATATATGGAAAATATCTGGCATAAGGTAGTCTAAATGTAAGGCATTTTTACTATAATCTATCATTTAATTTAAATAATAATACTGCAAAACAGCTCTTACTGTTCTTAGTCTATGAATAAAGAAAGTAGATTTAGAGAGTAACTGAACTACCCTAAAGTTATACAGCTGAGAAGTAGTGGGCATGAATTCAGTTCAGGACTGTCTGCCTTCAAAGCTTGCGGATTTTTTTTTTTTTCTATGCCACCCTGCTATGACGATGTCTTTTCTCAGGTACAGGCATAATAATTCCCATTATACTTTTGCATACAAATCAATATGAGATTCCCCATTAATGCTGAAGTGAAACTTTTTTCACTATGTTGATGGAAAAAGATGAGTTACATAAGGGGCCCAGGTGCCTTATTATTTCCAGAAGAGCATTCTGAAATGAGGAATACGAGAGCCAAAGATTGCACTGGAGAATTTCTGATATTTAAACACATAGAAAGTGTCATTTCCAGGTTTTCTGGTTTGAAAAAGTGCAATATGAAGAGACGATGCTGGATTATCTCAAGGGAACAGCAGTGAACCATCTTGATTAACCTTGAGGAGTCCATAGTATCACGTTTTTATCTGATATGAAAGAGCAAAAAAAAGTTGATGCCTGGATATAGCCACATATGGTTGTTTTTCTATATCATCATTGTGCAATCTCCCATTTCATAAATTTCTAAATTTAACTTTGTATAATTCAATTTAATTTAACCTATTTTGGCTTTCTCTTTGTATTCATATTACTGTGCTAGACAACAGGGTATAAGGAGATAACTTCTAATAACACTTACAAAGATATTTAAACTCAACAAATAATACTAATGTTGAGTCAAACTAATGCTTAAAAGAGACCTAAGACATTGCTGTAAAGATTTAGAGGAAGAAATATCACATTTTGAATGGGGAATGGGGAGAGACATCACAGAGGATGTAATATTTTGAGTTTAGTTAAAGGATGGGTAAAGACTGTTACTGAATGTAGGAAAGGAATCGTATCATAAAAACGTATGTCACGTTTAGGATTTAAGAGTGAACCTGTGCGGCTGGATCAGTATTTTCTGCAGGCAGTGAGTAGGTGACAAGTCTATAAAAGTGATTTGGAGTCAATAATAGAGCCTTGATGTCATGCTAAATAGCATGGCAATTTCATGGAAAGCATTCAATAGGACAATCTTTTCCCCGACTAAGGGCTAATGAACTGATCTGCTGAGATTTTAGTATCTGCTGAATGAGTTGAACTATCTTATATTAACAAATGTTAAACAATCTCTTTACTATAGAACTTCTCACAACCTTTAATGTTGTTATGTCTGTTGGGAATCTATAAGAGAAGCCTATAATATGCTTTGTTTCCCTATCTTATAATCATATGTGTTGTTTCTCAGTCTTATTAACTATGGGGCATGATACAAGAATAGTATTCCATGGAGCATGTTGGAAAACACTTATTTAAAAAGTAAAGTCAAAGAGTTCATATTTTAGTAAGGCAGTTGAAGACCCCCTTCTTGTTGTTGCCATCTTTTTGAGGCCTTTCTTTAATCTACATGTACGTATATGCCTGTGCTCACACACTTACATACTAAGTGAGTGACAGGGTATATCTTCAGTAAGATTCCTTTGGGTAGGACCCTTGCAGCCTCTAATCCCATTATGGTGATTTACTCCATTTTATTTCATGACTAGCCCTTGTAATCTAGCTTTTAGGGCTCGACTTTTTTTTTTTTTTTTTTTTTTGAGACAGAGTCTCACTCTGTTGCTGAGGCTGGAGTGCAGTGGTGCAATCTTGGCTCACTACAGCCTCAGCCTCCCGGGTTCAAGTGATTCTCCTGCCTCAGTTTCCTGAGTAGCTGGGATTACTGGTGTGTGCCACCATGCCTGGCTAATTTTTGTATTTTTAGTAGAGACAGGGTTTCGCCATGTTGGCCACACTGGTCTCAAACTGCTGGCCTCAAGTGACCCGTCTGCCTCAGCCTCCCAAAGTGCTGGGATTACAGGCATGAGCCACCACACCCTGCAGGGCTCTACTCTCTATAATGACTTCAGGCCACAGGTTTCTGACTCAGATTAAATACAAGGTTAGCTATTTTTTTTTTTAATTTTTATTTTATTTATTGATTTTTGGCTCCCAGTGATTTCACTCCCAGACTGAGGCCTGTGATAGCTCAGGTGATTTCCTGTTTCTAAACCAGACATGTCCCTGTACTTGGGCTCTGTGTTCCACGTCTGCCAGCTTGTCTGATAAAGCTTTCCTTGGTGCGCATGCCTCCAGGCACCCCACCTGAATTAGGGCCCTGCTGAAGCACAAACTGTCAGAATCCAGGGGAAATGACGCTGTGCAAAAATCTGTTGAAAAGGATTCATAGGGGTCATTATGACATTGGGCAATATCACAGAATATGACCCGCTTGTAGCACCTCTCCCAGGCAAAGACGATGGTATAGAGAATCTATGCTTCACCTGTTCAGTATAAAAATTATAGTTGATTCTTAAGGAAAGTTATAGTAATATTTTGTGAAAATGACTTTAGTCATACTCCTTCTATGAAATAATGGAAAAACAACTCAAAAGCAAACAATAGCAACAATCATAATAATATTAAAGAAAGAAAAAGCTGTTTATCTGCTTATATTCCTAGGAGGGTGAAGTATCACTTGTTTGGGTGATTTAACTGTGTTGTCAAGACTCTCTCTCTCTCCTTTCCTTCCTTCCTTCCTTCCTTCCTTCCTTCCTTCCTTCCTTCCTTTGTCTTTCTATCTTTCTATCTTTCTGTCTTTTCCTCTATCTGGTTTGTTTTCTCTCTCAAAAAGGCTCTGCCTATGTGGTAGGCAAACGACTGGCAGTAGTCTCAGATGCATATTCTGTAAGTAAAGCAATCACTACATAGTGTTTTCTCAAATCCCAGAATTTGTGGTGACACTAGGATGACATCTGTACCCCCCAAACTACATGCAATAGGTTTCCCACCAAAAAAGATTATGTTAACAGAAAGAATAGGACAGTGACACTAGAAAATGCTGACAAATAAATATCCTCCCCAGGCCCCATCTGCATTCATTTTCTTACAGATTATTTTAAGTGTGTTTCCTCTTAATATAGACATCTGTTCTAATAATCTTCATCATAACTGCAACTCATGTGCTGCATTCAGCTCCAGATCCCAGGATCAATGGGTGGTAAGCATTCTAATCAGTCTTCTCTAAATGTGGCTTCACACAGTCCATAGTCTATGCCTAAATGATTAAGTTAAACAAATTCTCAGATCTTCCATAAGGTATGGAATAAAAAAAAAAATGGGCTAACCACAGTAATAACACTTATTTAGAAATGTAAAACAATAAGAGAAAGTGATAACTTCTGTTCCACTGATCTATTGCTGCTTACAAAACCAACCAAAACATAGTGGCTTAAAACAACCACTTTATTATATTTTACGGTTCTGTGGGCCTGACTAGTTTTTTCCCTTGTGGTTGCAGTGTGATGGCAGCTGCGGCTGGCCAGCATCATCTGGAACTACACTGGTATGCTGGGCTCCCTCTATTTCCATGGAGCAGGTCTTCTCTTTATTTGTATGGTCTCTCTACACAGACTCTCTTGATGTGGTCCCTCCGGTCAGGTAGATAGACATTTTACATGGCGGTTCAGGGGTCTCTAGAAGGTTCTTCTAGGCCTTCTTAAAGTTTAGGCTCTGAGCTATCATAGCTTCACTTCCACTGCATTATCATAGTTAAAGCTAGTCATAAGGAAAAGCCCAATTTAACTATGGAAGGGACCACACAAGAGGATGGATGTTAGTGGTTCACTAAGGGACAGTTGTGAAGCTTGGATAAAACAAAATAGCACCATTCTATAGCATATTTCAAAATTTTTTGGACCAGAATAACAGGGACTAATTTTTCTCCAGTGGAGTTAGCCCCTGGTCTTCCACTGCTTGCTCTAAGTCCTGCCTCCCAGGAGAATATCTGTTTTCATTCATCCTCCGTTACCTCACTTTAGTGGGGCTAGATATGTATTTCTTATTTTAGGAATTCTATCACATTAAAAGCCCACTTCATATTAGTAAAAATTATGGGGATCTAGGGATTGACATGTTTTGTGAACAACTAAAGATTCAACATTTTGCTGGGATTTACCATAATTACTAGTTGGTTAATTCAATTTCTGGTCATAGTTTGGTCTAGAACCAAGCCAGATATCTTATAGAGGAGGGGTCACTAAAACTGCATCTGCTCTTACAGCTTCTATCTTTTAATGGCAGGCCTCAGAGCTCTACTCATTCCTCAGTCTAAAATGATGAAACAAAACATATCAGCCCCCACTAACAGGCTACATCCTAGATGATGGAGGAACTTACTTTTTTTGGGCAGTAAAGTATTTGAGAAATGCCTAGCAAGTCAGACTCATTTCTTTCGGGCCTTCTTGATCCAGTTTTCATTCTTGTTTCTTGCCTCCTGGATTTTGCAAGCATTAGCTTTATCATCAGACAAATAATTTTGACTTTGCAGTTCTGCAAAATTTGTGATGACCAGGTGATCAGTATTCTTGGATTTCTGGCTATAGGCAAAAAATGTTTTATTGAAGTTCTATTTTTTTCTATGTTAAGTCAGGCAAGCAGTTTGTCTCTTTCTTACAGAACTTATACAATAAGTGGCCAAGCATGTTGAACATCACATATATTTCTAGCAAGTTGTTTTTAAGTTATTGCTTTTCCAGGTACATGTTTTGATGTGGCATGTTAACCAGATGCTCTCAATCTCACAATGAAGATTATCAATTACTTGGCATGTGTAAGTATAAGGGATTCATACGAATCTGTACCAACTTGTGAAACACTCAATATGTTATGCTCTTATTCATTTGTCATCCACTGAGCGGGATGACATATTAATTATTCAAGACAGATGGACAGTCAGGAAGGATGGAGTCTCTTACCTCTATCAGTAAACTTCCTTTCAAATGTGGAAAACTAAATCCCTCCTGCTGTATTTCAAAGTCCATTCCAGTCCTGTCATGACCTCAGGGAAGGTAGCAGCCTCATTTTAGTCAATTGTTATTCCTCCCTGCCCTATACACATTTGAAAGCCCATTTTGGTCATTTTTTAGCTCCTTCTTTTCCAGAGAAAATGATCAATCCTGTCTGTGAAAAGAATGGACAAGTAAGATATCCTCTGGAGGCCCAGAGACTAATTTATTTTAGATATCAAATTCTTCTATTTCTTCTTAACAAGCATACTCCAGAGCAATAAATCTTGACAAGGAGCAACAATAGCAATAGTAGCTGCATCATGCTAAGAGACTTATTTCAGAACAATTTTTTATGTTTGGGCACATGACATGAGCACTATCAAAACAACAGTTGGCACATCCCAACCATCAACACATCACTGCAGAACATTATCTTCAAAGCCAGGCCACCAATAAAAAAAAAAAATGAACTTCAGAAGGAAAATGTGTTTTGGCTTTAGTGCTTTTATTTTTTATTTATTTTTATTTTTATTTTTTGGCAGAGGGTGCAGCGTATTGAACATGGTACCTGCCTTCTCTAATAGCAAGGAGAAAGTAAGTCCTTTAATTCTTTATTAACTTTCTCTTTTAAAATTTATCTTCTGAGTTTGAGTTAAAATTTTGTGACGTCTCTTGTAAACGTCTACTGTAAAAACTTTTCTCTGGCCAACAATCTTCATTAAATACGAATGAGAGTTTGTGTTTGGGGAGAGTGGTGGCAAAGAAATTGGTTCATTTTTTTTTCATTCACCTCCTTTATTCAAAGCTATCCTGATCTTTGAGATCAGGAACAATGTCTTCTTTGATTTTCAACCTCTTATGCTTAGCACAGTACTAGCACAGAAAGCATAAACTCCTTTAGCCAATTTTTGCTTTTTTAATATAATAAGGGCATATAAAATAAACAAAAATTTAAAGAAAAAATAAGCATTTCATTTTAACTTGTGAACGTATTTTTCTAGACATTAAACATAGAAATGTAATGAGAGCTATTTGATATTACATAATTACTAATAGACTAACATTGAAATTCATGAGGTAGAGGCCAGTTGTGCCTATGGTTCCTAGTACTGTAAAGTGGCAAGACACAAAAATCTACAAGAGGGGAATCTACAGAAATGGATTTTCATTATTTCTAGATAGTTTCTTTCAGACTAGAAGTTTTATAAATCAACTTGTTATTGTCTCTGTTGAAAAAGAAATCCAAAAGATTGTGATTTATTAAAATAAAAGTGTTCTTCAATCTTGCTTCAATATCTGTTGTGTAGGGAAAAGGCATCATTGGTTATCTTAGTAAATTTCTGTAGACATTATCAAGGTGATATGTGCAGATATGAAAATCTGAGGCTGGGAAATGTTTATTAATTTTGCTTATTAACATTGTATAGAAATAACCATACCCTTGTATTGTAAGAATTCACCATCTGACTTCTTTCTTTCCTACAGAGTTCTTTACTGTGTAATGCTAAATATCTTGTTGCGGTTACACAGGAGAGCTCTTTTGGTTATGTTTAGGGACCCTGTAGGGTGAGGCAAATGGGCCCATGCTAAGTATATGTTCAATAGGATGTCACATAATCTTATAAAAATCTTGTAAATCAACAAACAAAACTTGTAAAATGGCAAATGTTCAAACTCCATGTGATTAAATTGGGTGAATCAAAATAACAGATGCTATTTTCATCTTCTGCAGTGCTGAGAGTTTGTTAGTGTTACGGACACAACAGCTGCAAAGATAATTTTTATGTTCATTATATTTACTGTGTTACTGGGAGAATTAGAAGCCTCTGAAGTACTTCTTAAAATATTTTATTACTCTATAAAAGACCCTGTCACTTTAAACTCCATTAGTTGAGCTCTTTGGATTAGTAATGACATTCCTAGGAGGAGGCCCTGGGAAGTTGGGTTTAGGAGTCTCAGTTTAGCCCTTCACAGGCAGTGATGTATGTTAGCCCATCCTCAGGGAGAAGGGTTTATATAAAAAAGTCAATGAAGTTATTGGGTAATAACAGAGTGGGGTTTGTTTTAATTCCTCTTTTCACGCCACTGTAATTCACATTCCCTACTTATGAGTTTCCAACCACTTTATTTTATTTTTTATTTTAAAACCCACAAAAGAACTCAGAGTTTACAGCAATTTTAAATATTGACAAAATATCATTTAAATCAGTAGTGGACCATTCCTTTTACTTCATGTCAACAAACCTATCATATGTTTAAAGCATGGTAAGAGGTCAGGGGAATACCCAAGCACTATACATTTTCTTCATTCGAGGAGCTTAACTACTAGATGGGGAGCAAGAGTACTCATGGAATAGTCAAATATGACAACTTAATACTTTTGATTGAACATAAAAACTATTTTTTATATGAATTCTGTAGGAGCATTTTATAGATATGAATAACATTTACCATCAGTTGACTTTAAATAAAAGGTGGGCCTCATTTATCTTAGCCTCATACAATAAGTAATACAGTAATAGATATTACAGCTAGTAGTCAATTAAGTAGTCAGGGAAAGTCACATGAAAGTCTTGACCTAGGAGATATGTGGACTGATTTTCTCCATTATATAAAATTGCTTTTCACTATGTACCCAGTTTACAGAACAGGCAGGATTGGTGTCTATAATACAGATTTCTACTCAAGGGAGTATACTCTTGGACAAACATAGCTTCATCATTATAGTGATTGCCTGTTGTCTCTATCACGGTACTTGGCATACATTTGATACTGTGACAGTCAGTCCCTATGTGTCAACTTGGTTAGGTTATAGTCTCTAGTCTTTCAATCAGACCCCAAAAGTGGCATTGTGAAGGCATGTTATAGATATGACTAATATTTGCAATCAGTGGGCTTTAAATAAAAAGTGGGCCTCATTTATATAAGTGAGCCTGATACAATAGGTTGGAAAGTCTTAGAAGCAGAACTGAGGTTTTCATGACAAAGATGAAATTTCACTTACCAGCTGCAGCTTCAGCTCCTGCCCAAGAATTTCTAGCTTAGCCTTCTTCATGGCCTTTCCTGTGTGTTTCAGACTTGCCTGGCTAGATCCCACAATCAAGAAAACAACTCCATGCAAGAAATCTCTCCTTCCCTCTCTCTCTCTCTAACACTAGTCCTGTTTTTGTAGTGAAAACGTGACTTATTTGAGCACCAAAAGTGGATTTAGAATCTTGACAATGTGATTTCTGAATTGGTTTTGGGTTTCCTAGAATAGATTCTCTAATATGGTTACATTTAGTGGCACTAATGACTCTATTTCTAGTGGTAAAGAAGGCACTGGTAGTCCATGGCATGATGTGACAATAGAAATACACAAAATATAACCATTGGATACTCTTAATGAAATAATTATAAAAGTCAAGGTTTTGACTTTTATAATTATTATACATAAATATACATATAATTATTATACTATACATAGGTGACCATGTGTTTTATACCACAGAATATTTTCGTTAAACTTAGGACTGTTAAGATATTGCCTGGTTGCCCCTAAATGTGCTAGAGAAAGGCAGGAAAGAAAAGAATGAGATCAAGGTTTCAAATTTCCAATTCAAGCTCTACCTAAATAACCTGTAAGCATCTGTGTCTGACTTGAAAGCAACTTTTATTTCCTATAGCTGCAGGGCTGAGATTTCTAAAAATAAAACCCAGAAAACTCAGAGTTTCATCTAGTGAGTGGTTAAATTATAACATAAATAGAATGACCAATCTTGTATGGTGTCTGCTGTTAAAGTGAGTGAGGGCGTATATTGAGAAGGAATTGAATCCAGACCATGGGAATGGGGACAAATGAAAAGACCCTGATGAAGCTGAGGATATCAAAACCCTAAATTCTGCTAAGTCTTTTGTGCAAGTAGAAGCAGGCCTCCCACCCCAGTCTGCAAAGGTTAACCCTGAAGAATCTTGCCTGAAGAACATGTAATAGTCTCACTTGATGTAATTGGCTTAATAGCTACTGCTAATACTATTGCCACCTCTCTTTGCTTTTAGACCTAACACTAGACACAAGTCCCAGTAGTTTCCAAAGGGTAAGGTACCAAGTGTGATGCATGAAGAGGTGTGATACTCACCTAAAGAGTTTTATGAATTTCCAGTTTATACAGAGAAACCTGGGGAATATATGTAAGAGTAAATATTAAGGGTGTAGGATAATAATGAGAGGATATAAAGTTGGATCAAACTGAGTTTATTGATACAGGTCCAGTTAGAGATTCTTCATTCAATCTTATAGCTTGATGTGTGAGAAACGGCTCTAACAATTTATATGGTTGGATGAAATACAGTCCTAAAGACGGACTACACTATATGCCAGAACTTCTTTGGCATACTGTAGAGGAAGTCATCCAAAGGCTTAGAGATATTGAAATTTTTGAGTAGATTTAATCACGTCAGATCTACTCACCCAACCTAAGAGGGTTCATAGGACACACTTTTCAACACAACTGTGAGAAGTAGTTTTGTGAGAGGAGTCTAAGCATCATTGAAGAACTCTTTGGTCACTTTTCTCAGTGGATCAGAAACTATAGTGAGAGCTGCTGCCATGGAACTGGCATATCTAAATGCAATGGAGTTAGTTGGGCCTTGGACATTGGTCCTGAACTAATGCTAAACCTAAGACACTCACAGTGTCACTGTGGTCCAACAGTCAAACCAATCAAGAGGAGAGGCTTATGGAGTATGTGTGATTGTGTTAGGGTTCTCCAGAAAAACAGAACCAATGTGGGTGGGGGAAGAGAGAGATGGTTAGATAGATATAGATTTATTTTTTTAAATTAGCACATGTGATTGGGGAGGCTGGTAAGTCCAAAATCTGCAGAGTAGGTCAGCGGCTTGAAGCTCAGGGAAAAGTTAGTATTGTAGTCAGAAGATAATCTGCAGTCAGAAGACAGTCTGCTGGCTGAATTCCCTTTTTTCAGAAGAGCTCAGTATTTTTTCACTTGAAGCCTTCAACTGATTGGATGAGGACTTCCCATATTATGCGGGATAATTTGCTTTAATCAAAGTCTACTGATTTAAATGTTAATTTTCTCTAAAAAAATGCATTCGTAGAAACATCTAAGTGTTTGGCCCAATATGTGGGTACCATGGCCTAGCCAAGGTGACACACTGAATTAACTATCAAAGTGATCAATGTAATTTTAGGTTCTGGTTCATCTCACAGGGGTCCAATGGGTTGCAGAATCCTTGTGTTTATTTCCCTGGTTCCAGAGTATGCAGTTGGAATAGACATAACCTGTCAACTGACAAAATCCACGCATTTGCTCCTTGACCTGTGGAGTGAGGCTTATTATGGAAGGAAAAGGCCAAGTGGAAGTCATTCCTGGAGCTAGTAAACTAGAAGCACTCCTACATTCCTGAAAGGACTGCAGTTAATGCCATCATCAAGGACTTGAAAGAGTCAGGGATAGTGATTCCCACAATATCTTCATGCAGCTTGCCTATTTAGCCTGTGAAAAAACAGATGGATCAGGGAGAATAACCATGGATTATCACAAGTTTAACCATATTATGACTCCACTTGCAGTTGCTCTTTTAGATGCAATTTTGTTGCTTGAGCAAATTGACACACCCTTTGGTATCTAGTACGCAGCTATTGATCTGGCAAATTCTTTTTTCTCTTTACCTGTTTGTAAAAATCACTAAAAGCAGTTTACTTTCAGCAAGGCCAACAATACACATTGATTCTCCTACCTCTGGGGTATATCATGTTTCCATTCCATAAAACATTGCACTGGTCTATTATGTTGACGATATTATGTTGATTGGGTACAGTGAGAAAGAAATAGCAACTGCTGTATACATATTGGTAATAATTTTGTGTGACAGAGGGTGGAAAATAAATCCAGCAAAAATTTAGGTGCCTTCTACTTCAGTGAAATTTCTAGGGGTACAGAGGTGTTGAACATGTAAAGATATCCCTTCTAAGATGAAGGATGAGTTGCTACATCTTGGTCTTCCTAAAACCCCAACATGGGCACCGTGCTTAGTGGGCCCCTTTAGATTTTGGAGGCAAAATATTCTGCGTTTGGGTGTGCTATCCAGCCCTTTTACTGAGTAACCCAAGACACTTTTGGTTTTGAGTGGGGCTCAGAATAAGAGAAAACACTGCAATAAGTTTAGGCTTTCCTGCAAGCTGTTTTTCCACTTGGTCTGTATAAGCCAGCAAATCCGATGTTGCTCCAAGTGTCAGTGGTAGATAAGATTCTGTTTATAGCCTTTTACAGCCCTCATTATGTGAATTACAACACAGAGCCTTAGCATTTTGGAGCAGAGCACTTTCATCTACTGTGGATAATTACTCTCTCTGAGAAACTGCTGTGGCTTGAAGCTTCAGCTTAGAAGAGGCTAAATGCTTAACTGGACCAGCAAGTTACCAGAAACTTGAACTGCCCATCATGAACTTGGGGGTTATCTGACCCATCAAGCCATAAAGCTTCAGGAACGCCCAGTATAGGGATATATTATCAAATAGTAGTAGTATATATGAGCTTAGATTTGAACAAGCCCTGAAGGCATAAATAAGCTTAATGAGGAAATTGTATAAATGCCATGGCCCCTACTCCACCATATTACCTACTGTCTCCCAGCCCATACCTATGGCCTTATGAGAAGTTCTCTGCAATCAGTTGATTGGGGAAGATAAAACTCGGGCCTACTTTACAAATGGTCTTGCAAGATATGCAGGAACCACTTGAAAATGGAATACAGCTGCAGAACTGAGACGTCTCTGAAAGGGAGTAGTTTAAAAAATCCAACCAATGGGCAACACTTTTAGCAGTGCACCTGGTTGTCCATTTTGTTTAAAAAGAGAAATGGGCCCGGTGCCGTGGCTCATGCCTGTAATCCCAGCACTTTGGGAGGCCGAGGCGGGCGGATCACAAGGTCAGGAGATCGAGACCATCCTGGCTAACGCGGTGAAACCCCATCTCTACTAAAAATACAAAAAAATTAGCCAGGCGTAGTGGCAGGCACCTGTAGTCCCAGCTACTCGGGAGGCTGAGGCAGGAGAATGGCGTGAACCCGGGAGGCGGAGCTTGCAGTGATCCGAGATCGCGCCACTGTACTCCAGCCTGGGCGACAGAGCGAGACTCCATCTCAAAAAAAAAAAAAAAAAAAAAAAAAAAAAAAAAAAAAGAAATGGCTAGCGATAATGCGTTTATATCAATAGGCTGTGGTCAAAGGTTTGGCTTGGAGGAAATACAATTGGAAAATTGATGATAAGGAAGTCTGAGTATGGGAGGTAAAGTATGTGGATAGATCTCTCTGCATGGGTAAAGAACATGAAGTTATTTTTGCCCCATGTCAATGTTCACCAAAAAGTTATTTCAGCAGAGAGGGATGTTAATAATTAAGTGATTAGGAGAACTCATTCTGTGGACACCAGTGAGCCTGTTTCCCTAGCCAGTCCTGTCATGCCCAATGTGCTCATGAACAAAAAGTACCTGTGGTGGCAGGGATGGAGGCTATGCATGAAATACAATGTGGATTTCCGCTTACCAAGGCCAATCTTTCCACTGCTGAGTGCCCTTTCTGCCAATAGTAGAGACCAGCACTGATTCCCCAATATGGTATAATTGCTGGGTGTGATAGAGAGTTATTTTGTGGAAGGTTGATTGCATGCAACCACTTCCACCATGGAAGGTGCAGTGCTTTGTTCTACTTGGTATATTAATTACTTTGGATATGTATTTGCGTTTGCTGTACAAAATGCTTCTGCCAAAATGACCATCTGTGGACTTAAAGAATAATGTATCCGCTGTCATGGTATTCTTCATAGCGTTCTTCTGATCAAGGAAATCATTTGACACCAAATGCAATGTAGCAGTAGGCCTAGCTCATGGAATTCACTGATCTCACCATATGGTCCATCATTCAGAAGCAGCTGTCTGGATAGAATGGTGGAATGGGCATTTGAAGACTCAATTATAGCACTAGCCAGGCAGCAGTACCTTGCAGGGCTGGGACAATGTCCTCCAAAAGGCTCTATCTTCTCTAAGTAAGCATTCAGTATATGGTGCTGTTTTATCTTCATAGCCAGGATTCAGAGGTCCAGGAATCAACAGGTGGATGTGGGAGTGATACTGCCCACTATTACCACTAGTGAGGCTTTAGAAATATTTTGCTTCTCATCCCCAAGACATTCTTCTCTTCTTATATAGAGAGAGGTCTTACTTCCAAAAGGAGAAGTGCTTCTACCAGAAATAATTATTTCCAACTGAAATTTAAGGGTGTCATCTGGTCACTTTAGGCTCCTCATTCCTCTGAATCAACAGGTAAAGTAGAGAGTTATTGTACTGGCTGAGTGATTACAATCCAGTTTACTCTTGGCTTAGCCAGGGTAGTCCCTTGATTATCAAGGGATTGTCACTATGTAATAGAGGTCAGGAAGATTATGTGGACTACAAGAGATCATTCAGGGTATATCTTAGTACTGTCATGCCATATGATGATTAAAGTCTGTAGAAAACTACAACTTAATTTAGACAAGAGTGTTAATGGGATAGTCCTTTCAGGAATGACGGTTTGGTTAACTAGTTGGGCAAAGAACCATGACCGTCTGTGTGTCTGTGGGGTTGTCATAACAAAATACTACAAGCTTGGTGGCTTAAACAACAGAAATTTATTTTCTCACACTTCTGGTGGCTGGAAGTTCAAGGTCAAGGTGTTAGCAGGTTTGGTTTCTCCGGAGACCTCTCTCCCTCCTTGCAGATAGCTGTCCTCTTGCTGTGTTCTTATGTAGCCCTTCCTCTGTCCATATGCATTCCTGATATATCTTCCTCTTCTTATAAGGACACTAGACTTATTAGATTAGGGTCTCATCTTCCTAATCTAATTTAACTTTACCCCATTAAAGACTTTCTTTTCAAATACAGTCACATTGGAGGTTAGGGCTTCAATATGTTAATTTGGTGGGACACAATTCAGTCTATAATACCAACTAAAGTGCTTTTTGAGGGTAAAGGCAATATAAAATGGCAATGCAAGAAGGTAGTTATAAATACCAGCTATAACCCCATGGCCAGTTGCAGAATGAGGATTGAAATCCTCAAGCATATTTCTCTTATTTTGATGTGAGTATGTTTGTATGTGTTTATCAATTTTTTTCTTCCCTCTCTTATTTCCTTATTAACTAACACAAGATGTATTAATCATAATTAACTTTATATCACTATTTAAGTTACAGGGTATCAAGTAAAAGACTTAACATCACCCAAATATTTGAATTATCTTCTAGGGAAAGGATTAATGCATTTTTAGTGGTATGCAGGATAGGTACCATGTTAGGTGGAAGTATGACCTGGCTATTGTCTTCATTTGAAAATTAAATATGGATTGAGGAGTTGTGTATAAGTACCAAGATGACAAGAGTAAACTGTGATTATCAGTTTTGTATATCAGCTTGGCTAGGCTATAGTCTCCAGTTATTCTGTCAAACACTAGGTGTTACTATGAAGGAATTTTGTAGATATGATTGATATTTACAATCAGTTGACTTTGAGGGCATTATTGTCATTAATCTGGATGGGTCTAATTCAATCAGTAGATAGGCTTTAAGAGAAGGACTGAGATTTTCATAAGGAAGAAGAAATTCTGACTGTGGATTGCAGTTTCAGATCCTCCCCGAGCTTCCAACCTGTCCTTTTGATGGCCTGCCTGCATATTTTAGACTTGCTTAGCTAGTCTCCAAATCACATAAGCCAATTCCTTGTAATTAATGTATATTTTTATATATATAAATGAACATATATGTATGTATATTCTAATATCTCCAATTACTATTAATAATTCTATTTCTATGGTAGAACCCTGACTGATACAGATACTTTCCAAATATTCAATGAATGGATGTTTACATAGATGAAGGAATGAGTTAAAACATAAATCCATAAATAATTGTTTATATTATTATTCGTTGATGGCTATGACTATATCTATATAAAAGGGAAAGCTAAAAGGTTTTTAAAATCGATTAGCGAAAGGAGGGGCAAAGAAGCTTAATGCAGTAATATGTAAATTCAGCAGAAAATGACTAAAGAATGGTTTAGTAGAGAGCTTGCACAGACTCAAACATCTTACAGAGGAAGCTCTTAGGTTAGTGAATTAGCTTCCTCATTTATAATCCAGAATTAAACATTCTCATAATTTTCAATTTAGGAGTTAGGGAAGGAGTATGCCTTTATTTAGTTGGTGAGGAAGGTAAGAATACAGTCCTGATTCTGTCATGCAGAGAAACACTTGTCATTAAATTAAATTGTCTACCTTATGGTCCTGATTCCTTGGTTTGTTTTCTCTCAGGGAGACTAATCACAGATTTATCCGGTACCAGATTCTACCCACACTAAAATGTATCCAAGTCTAGAATATTAACTGACATGTTAGATTTTTGAAAATAAAAACATTTTTTACATGTTTACCTATACAAATAAGAAAAATAATTATGATTTTGTTTTAAATCTACCAGATATCTAGTAAGACCTCTTCTATGCTACTTTGCATTATCTTAACTTCATGATAATGACTATGTTTGGTTTTCCCAGGTATGTACATGCCCAAACTTCCGCTCTCCCTAATAGACACCATAAATCATAATTTTGTACTTCACAAGATACAAAATAGATTATGATCTTGTGCTTTATTTCACATTACGATATATGTATTTCAAAAAATAACACTCAAATCCCTTTTGCTAATATTACTCCTGTGAAAAGAAACCACTTAGTTTAATAAAAAAATATTATTTTGCCATGGTTCAGTGTGTCTGAATGACTTACAGTCAGTTTTTTCTCTAGTCAGGATACAATATTCATTGAATATTAGACCTATATGTTTCATCACTCAGTGTATGTATTTTGTTTTTTAAAAAAGAAAAACTTCTGTCTTTACTAGTTATACATAGAATTCAACAGTTTTTTATTTTGAACAGGTTTAGGTCTATAAAGCTCCAGTCCTATTTTACTGAACATCTTAAGTCTTTTTTCTATACTGAATATATTTAAGATAAGAGAGTATTTGAAGAATTCACAGAATATTCTGTATTTGGCATATTTTGCAATTCTGAAATATAAAAGATAAATAGGAAATTTGGTAGCATGTTTTGGTCTTAAAAACTCCTTGAATGTAGTGTTACGAAGGAAGCTAGAAAAACACACCCAATTCCAGGGAAACCATTGACTGTCATGATTCAGCACTATAAGCCATCATCATTGATATAGTTTAATATTGGTAGTTTAAACATAATCCTAAATGACATTTCATAGATTGCTTTTTATAAAAGAGTTTGCTGCCGTTGTTAGGAGAAAAAGTAAGCAGAAATGCTTTTCTAGAAGGAAAAAACATAATCTTGGGGAAAATAAGTAGCTTTTCTCTGAATTTAGCTTAATAGTTTCTGCGTTAAAGAATCCATGTCTCTTCCACATTATTTATCCACAAGCAAGTCTTTGGAAGAACCAGGTTAATTCTAAAAGATAAAATAGGAAACTTTAAGGGTGTTGCAGTAGGCAGCAACCAAAAATGGCTTCCAATGTTCTTGCACCCTGTTGGAGATGCCCTGAATAATCCTCAACCCTTAAGTGTGGACTGTGATTATAGTATAGTACAAAAGATTCTATATTAACAGAGTTGAGTGTCATTGCTCTATTGCTCTACTTTTTTTTTTTTTTTTTTTTTGACGGAGTCTTGCTTTGTCACCCAGGCTGGAGTGCAATGATGCCATCTCAGCTAACTGCAACCTCGGCCTCCCGGGTTCAAGTGATTCTCCTGCCTCAGCCTCCCGAGTAGCTGGGATTACAGTCATGTGCCATCATGCCCAACTAATTTTTGTATTTTTATTAGAGATGGGTTTCACCATGTTAGCCAAGATGGTCTGGATCTCCTGACTTCGTGATCCGCCCATCTCGGCCTCCCAAAGTGCTGGGATTGCAGGCGTGAGCCACTGGACCCGGCCCGCTCTGCTGGTTTTGAAGAGGTAAGCTGCCATGTTGTAAGAGGTCTGAATGGCAAAAGCCTGAGGTAGCCTTTAGGAGCTGAGAATGATCTCTGACATACAGCCTACAAGAAAATGGGGACCTCAGCCCTGCACTCATAAAATACTGAATCCTGCTAACAAACTGAATGAGCTTTGAGGAGGACTCAGAGTCTCATGTGAGATTGCAGCCCTGGGTAGCACCTTCATTTCAGCCCCATGAAACCCAGCTAGCCAGTACTTCACCTTTGGTTCATGGAAACTGTCAGATAATAAATATATGTTGGCTTAAGCTGTTAAGTTTGTGGCACTATTTTACACAGCAATAGAAAACCAATATAGGTCGTTTCCATAAAGTTTGCTCACAAATTCTGGGGTTTAAACCATCACTCAGATATATTATTTATGGGCTTCAGCCAATAAAACCATCCAACAGTTTCAGAAAACAAATGACTACACGCCAAGTTCTATTCAGGAACAGTGAAAACTGTACAAAGTAGTGCTTATTCCTCCAAATGACAGTCATAGTTTGGGTATCACTGACAATCAACTAATGTTGACCTGTATTATTATTATCATTATTCCTCCCTCCCTCACCCCTTCTTTCCTTTCTTCCTCTTTCCTTTCTTCCCTCCCTCCTTTCAAACTTGCTCAAATGCTCACTTTATCGCTCTCTTTCTGTTTTTCTTTTCTCTTTTCTCCTCAATTGTTTGCTGTAATGCTAATGTGTTGGGGGCTGTTGGCTATTGTATGACTTACATTTCAAGTCATTGTCAGCATTAACATCTTTGATGCCTTCAATCATCTATTTGAACTTTGAACGAATGGGACATAGAGTATGATAGGTATGCACATAGGGAGTAAAGACGTAGAGCAACAGGAATTTCAGTAGGAACTGGAGACTTAATGGGATATGAAAGTAAGATGAACTGAATATCAAGTCAAGTTATTAAGACAATGGGATAGATTTAAAAAATAAAACAAGATAAAAAATGTCATATGTTTACTGCTGTGTTTAGGGGTAGCAATAACTTTGTGGGATATTTTTATCTGGTTCTTTACCATATACTCAGTGTCTAGAATCATCCCTGTCATCTACAATATGATATAATACATATCATATATACTATTTATATCATAAATATTTATATCTGATATATGATATATATCATTTATATCATATATAATATTTGTAACATTTATTGAAAGAAGGAAAGTTATGTTAAATAAACTTGATGTTTATATAGCCTCTGAACTTTTGATTCTAACTTTTAGGGAGGGAAATACACAGATTTTGGAGGTAGAGAGATTTAGCACAATTGTTTAATTAATTTAATATTTACCAGACACATTTAAGATAAAGGGACATAAGATAATAATAGTACATGGATTTAAATTTGTATACGTGTATTTAGAAAGGATTTTAACATTGCCTGGTCCCATAGGATACTAAATTATTTTACAACAGGTTAATTTTGGGTATTTGTTGGCTAGTACAACCTAAAGGGGACACTTAAGTGGAATGAAAGTTACTAAAGATGGGCTTTTGGTTTGTAATTTGTTTTTGTTTCTGAAAAAAAAAAAAACTTTTGAATTTAATAAAGAAATGCCAATAATTGGTACATACATTAATTCAAAATATTTTCACTAAGTACCATGTAGAATATTTCCCAATCTTTTCACAGAGAACCACGTTGAAAGAATGCCTAAAACTTATCAGTTTATCAAAAAATCTAAAGCTGTCAATCAGAGTTCCTAATTACTATGAGATGACAAGTTTTAAAATCTTGAGGTCAAATAGTATGAGCTTTCAAAAGCTTTGTTGAATGTATATATTCCAACTGAGGGGATTTCTTGGCCTCAGACTGGTAGTCACAAGTCCATGTGCCAGATACCATACACATGCAATCAAAACTGAGTAATAAGTATCATGCGTAAAAGATAATATATGGTCCCTGTATATTTAAGGAGAATAATGTCTAATTCCCATGGTTGTAAAGTTAGTGAGGGGCAGAGAGACAGATCCAAATTACTAACCACAAGGAAGAACCAAGCAATAGAAGAGATAAAAGTCCTGTGCCCTGGGGGCGCAGCAGAAAGGGCTCTGGGAGGTTTCAGAGACCAGGCGGCATCCAGGTCTGACCAAGAACATGAGTGGACATTAATGCGTGTGGGAAGGGGTTCTCGAAGCTGAAGAAAACAAACGAGAGAAGACATGGAGGCCCTGGAGTACTAGCTGTTCAGAAGACAGTAAAGCATTTATTATGGGTAAAGGGATGTGATCTGATAAGAAACATAAAACTCAGGAAAACCCGACCCAACAAGAGCCAAACACAATGCCGGTCTGTATTTCTTAACAGCAGTTCAACAGAGAATCCGAAGTGACCTGCAAAACTAACAAGACAGCAAAATATCTTCCGAAAGGCAGAGGCACCACATGCCCCTGGTGGAGGTCCCTTAGAATCAAATCCACTAGCAATAATTTTCCTTAATGAAAAATGTTTTCCCTCCCCAAATGTAAAACAAAAGCAATGTGAGTGAACAAAACTCCAAACAAAAAGAGACCATCAGAGCAAGCTTTAGCCCCTCATAGCTCACCTATGCCCCAACTGTCAGGCTACTGGGGACAAGTTCTGCTCCATTAGTTAAAATGACTCATGACTGCAGAAAGTAACAAAATTTAGCATATCACTGCTTTTATTACATCCCACCCCATCAAAAGTAAATAAACACCACACAAAATATAATTTTACCCCAAATAAAAGTCAGCATCAACCTAAATATCCTACTGTAATATCGCTACACTCACCCAGGATATTTTAATCCTCTTCCAACCTGTTTACAAAAAGAAATCCTCATTCTGAGAGCTCTGGAAGCATTGCAAATATTGCTCCATTAGATTCCACTTCTTGAGGAAGTTAGGTCTTGAAACAGAAAATTTATGTATTTTTCTCCACTACCACTGAAGGTCATTATTATAAAAGGCCTGCAACCAAAAACCTCATCCCCTGATTCTCAGGCTATTTTAATTTTTTTTCTTCAGATCAAACAAGCAATGAGAGACACACATAAAAAGATGAAAAGTTATCCAAAAACTTAAAAAAACAAGCAACAATAAAACCCATAAAGTAGAATCTGTGTCATCACATTAACAGTCTAAACTTTGTTAAAGACAAAAAAATATTTTTTTTACTTGATTTACCCAAGCTATAGGCATTTTATAATGTGCTCATGAAATTAACAGTTTATAAAAATAATGGAAACATTTTTAGGTGGAGGCATTAAACTAAAATCACCTCATTCTCTGGCAAAGAGTTCTTCCAAAATGTTAAGATCACAAGGGATGTGTGGCAAATCGCCTGCATAGGGCTGCATCACACACTAACCCACATTCAGGCTGCCAGCCTTTGCCCTTCTGCTCAAGTCAGCTTCAGAGGTTCAGGGATATTGGCAGACACCTGCTCAAGGTAGGCCAAGGAGCCTGAGGGATGTCGGCTGGCTTTTGTACTACACCTTAATATCCTGCAGCATCTGCTGCCAATGCCTCAGTTTTGTCAATTACTTCTGGACCAGCACATCTTTTCCTGTAATTCATTCCTTGGTTCTGAGACATCCTCTTTTTGATAACTTGCTCTGGTTTCTGGACAGTTAATTGCAATATTTTTTCTGTATGAAAATATATTGTTTGTTTACAATATCCGGAAGCTTCTGAATACTCTGATCAATACCCGTTTGAATTCTTCCTGATTGGTGCCATTGACATAGTCCTAACTCACCAGAGAAGCAAAGCAAGCACCAAAAGATGAGGCGGGGCGCCCCAGCAGGGGTGGTGTGGCCCCAGTGGCTGCCCAGAGAACATACCGCCTAGTGGAGCAGCTATGTCTGGAATCTACTTCTTATTTTATAATTTATCCAGTGGTTGGCCTTATTTATTCCACCACAAGGATGGCCTTAGTATCAGATCATAGGAAAAATGCTATTACAGAAATTATATAATAAACAGTATGCTGATTTGAAGAGGAATGAGGGATATTACATCTGACAAAGTTGCCTAACACATTACCCAAACTAATTAGCTTCTGCTGGAAGCAACCAGCATTTCAAACTGTGTGTTAAATATTAGAAACTGAAAATGACCAGGAGTTAGTTAGTGACTCATGGGCTTATTATAATGACAGAAATGTAGTATCTGGAGGAAAGCTCTGCATTTGCTACTTTGGCTGGCTCATGGTGATCCTGAAGCTGTGGTTTTTGGTTTACTGGGGAAAGAAGAAAACAGCCTATTACCATGTTATATTCAAATTACCACTCAAAGTGAGAAGTTAATGAAACATTTTTGTCTTTTTTTGACATTAATATAAATGTATCCATTAAAATAGGTTTCTGATCGTGAATGCAATTCATACACTAAAATGTACCATTTGTGTTGCAACAATACCACCTCAATAGTGCTTGTCTCCATTATGAATCAGTGATAAATACTTGATAAACTTAAGGAAATAAATAGTAAGTATCATGCATCTTATTGTGTAAATGGAATATAATGTGTAAGTTACTGTACTAGGCACTTTGAATAAAATGATGAGCAAGTTTACATGCTTTTCTGCTGTGGGGGATACTACCTTCTACTGAGAGACACAGAGAACTAAACAAATGAGCAAAAACAAGGGCAATTGATAAGAGAAATATGTGGAGTTGCACAGAAAGGGTACCCAAGAACGTTTAAGGGATACTCAAAGAACTCTACCTAGATGAAGCAGTATATAAATCATTGTAAAGGAATTAGTGGGATTTACCCAGGTTTTGGGGTGGAAGGTTGGTAGAGGTTCTAGCATAGTTAGCCAACAAATTTTATGGCACTTTAAATATAATGAACTACACTTGAAAAAAATATTAAAATGGTTATTAATGCCAAAAAATAAAATAATCCAAATGCAGCTGAAAACTCCTAGTGTAATAATAAATATAATTTAAAACCGTTATTTAGTATAAGAATTTAACTTTAGAAATGGCATCCATCATCTTTATTTAATAATTTTGTTTGCAAAAAATGTCTACTCTCTTTTTATTAAAATATAAAAATGGACAAATAAAAAATGTAGGAAATTTATTCCCAAAATTAAACATATAGGTCAGCAAAGAAGTCATACAATGGCCCTCTATAGAACTGCTTAATAAATTATTTGATCATAATTATGAAAAAAAATGGATCAATAAAAAGCCATAGTAAACTTCATAGTATATTATTTCTGAAGGCACAGAATTAGGCGATGCCTTTTCAGTAGTTTTTATGCTAAAAGAAATAGAACAAAATTGTAATATATAGATGATAGATATATCAGATCATTAGAAATACTTACATACACCTCATGTTACAACCTTGTCAGTTTATTACATTTAATTCAATTGACTACTACAAGCCCTCTCATAATAGACTTTGCAATTTAGACTGGCCTTGAAGAGTTGAAAGCATTTCTTACAAAGAATGATAAGGACAAGGCATCCCAGAAAACATATTACCCATTCACCTTTTGTATCCTTAGTGATAAGAAACAGATATATTGAAGCTAAATATGCAGTAATTATGATTTTATTTTAAAAACTCACTTCTATTCAACATTTCATGAAATAGTTTTACAAATCCCACTTCATTTGATACCTAAAACCTTTAGTTATTTCTGTTTGTCCTCTTTCACTGGCCTAGATAATGATAGTATTAATATAACTATTATTTATTAAGGACTTACTTATTTTGAGCATTTAAATATATAGAACCTTTAATGCTTATAACTACTTATGTAACAGATATTATCATTTTCTTTTCTTTTTCTTTTCTTTTCTTTTTCTTTTTTTTTTTTTTTGAGATGGAGTCTTGCTGTGTATCCCAGGCTGGAGTGCAGTGGTGCGATTTCGGCTCACTGCAAGCTCCACCTCCCAGGTTCATGCCATTCTTCTGCCTCAGCCTCCTGAGTAGCTGAGACTACAGGTGCCCGCCACCACGCCCAGCTAATTTTTTTTTTTTTTTTAGTAGAGATGGGGTTTCACCATGTTAGCCAGGATGGTCTAGATCTCCTGACCTCGTGATCCGCTCACCTTGGCCTCCCAAAGTGCTGAGATTACAGGCATGAGCCACCTGAGCCACCACACCTGGCCGATATTATTTTCTTTTGGCACATTATGAAGACAATATATGACACTTCTAATTAATATGTCAGAATTGAGAATCCATTGAGATGTAGACACTGGAGAGATAGTTGGAGATATAATATTTAAGCACTGATAATTTTTAGGCAATGTACCTTAGATGTATTGATAAAGGTCTGGTTATCACTTGACTCTGGATTAGGCACCCCAGGATTATTCATCCAGCTAGTAACACAGTTTCCTGCCTCCCCAGGAACCATTTTACAGATAGCGCCATGCATACTCTCAGTACCCCACCAGAGTCCTATGGGAATATAGAAGGAGATGAGCCATGTGTGCTCATTTATGTCTTTCAAGTTCAGTAAAACTTGAATTCTGGGAGGTCAACAAGAGACCAAGAAGCTTACTAAATGGAACTTCTTTTTCATGATAACATGATGTTGGGGGTAAAGAAAAGGTGTCTGTAGTATCCAAAATATGATTCTCCAAAGATGACCACATTCTAACCCCTGGAGCCTATGAATGTGTTATGTTACATTGAAAGGGGGAATTAAGGGGAAGATGAAATTAAATTTGCTTATCAGCTGACTGTGAAATGGAAAGATTATCCTGGATTATCTGGGTAGTCTCAATATAATCACAGGGATCCTTATAAGTGATAGAGGTGGAGAGTTAGCATCAGAGTGACACAAAGTGAGAAAGCCTGGAATGACCATTGCTGGCCTTGAGGAAGGAATGGGGACGTAGCCAAGGTCTGTGGCAGCCTCTAGACACTGGAAAAACTAAGAAAGTAAATTTTCCTCTAGGGGCTTCAAAAGGGAATGCAGCCAGTGGATGACTTAATTTTAGCCCTGTGAGGCCCATTTCAGACTTCTGTCCTCCAGAACTGTAAGATAATAAATGGGTTTTGTTTGAATCTGCTAAATTTGTGGTAATTTGTTCATAGTAGCAATTCAGTACGCATCAGGGTTTAGTACAATAACAGAACCCTGTATTGTTGTGTTTTTAAGCAGGTAGAAATTTAATACAAGATTTAGGTAATTGTAAAAGTGCCATAAGGATGAAAAGAATGGAATAAGGTGATATAATTGGACTTTGTATTGTCCAGGTTGGTCTCAAACTGCTGGGCTCAAGGGATCTTCCCACCTCAGCTTCCTGAGTAGCTGAGACTGCAGGTACCTGTCACCCTGGATGGATATATATATATATATATATATATATATATATATATATATATATATATATATTTATTTATTTATTTATTTTAGAGATGAGGATCTTGCTTTGTTGCCCAGGCTGATCTCAAACTCCTGGCCTCAAGCAATCCTCCTGGCTTAGCTTCCTGAGTAGTTGGGATTACAGGCACGAGCCATCATGCCAGCTATCCTTGGACTCTGATTTAAAATCACATGATGTCAACTCCCAACATTACCAACATCCCTGCTCTACAGTACTGAGGAAGCTGGTGAATAATTGTGTTCACCAGCTGGTGAATAGTTGTGTAATATTAAGTCAATCGTTTTTTACTTTGGATGGTTACCTCAACATCCCCAGATCTCTGTCCAACCTTAAGATAGCACCCTGAGTTTTTGTGATGTTCACCTCCCATTCTCCAGCATACACACACACGCACACACACACACACACACACACACCCGTACATGTATGTACACACACACACACACACACATCTATATGTATGTATAGGCATTTACAACATTTCTGCTCACCAAATTCAGTCAACACAATGTTATCAATGCAGTGGACCCGTCTAATACCCTGTAGAATAGTGAGATAATCAAGATTTTTGGGGCCAGTTTATGCAGAGAACCAGAGGTGAACTAGCAAAGGTGTACTTCTGACCTGAAGCTAAACTGCATCTGCTTATTAAGATGGGGAAAGTAAAAGAATTTGCACTTTCAAAACTGCTTACCAGTTATCAGCAGAATGTTGATTTGCTAGAATAAAGCTATCACAGGAGGAACAGCAGCCCAGTTGCATTTAATTCCCTGATCAAGCTTAAAATAATTCACTCTCTTTATCCAAGACCAATCCATCTTCTCTTCACAACAGCAATCTATCTTCTGCTACTTAAATTGAGACATGAGAGAAATCACCACATGGGCATCCTTCAAGACTTACGGTGGCACTAGTATTTGTGGTTCACCAGGGATGCAAGATCGAATTTGGTTTATCATTTTGGTGGAGTGCGGACATTCAAGGACTTTTACCTAGGCCTTATAAGCAAAATAGTCCCTATTCTATGAGTGAGGGGGGATCGGTGTGGAAATTCATCTAGCTGCCAATTAGGTAATTATGTAATCCAATTCCAATTATGCAATCAAAAATGATAGAAATAAACAGAGAGTTGTTTTATAGGCCTGCTGTAAGAGCTGAACTCAAGCTAAACTCTGTATTATTTGCTTTATATACACTCTTATTCTGACTTGTACAGGTCAGTAACATAGGAGAATCCAAGTATTATTGCTAACTGGGAGCCATTGTATGGTAATCCTTGAAAAACCAAGGTTGCTTTCTTTTCTTTGTGTAAAATATAGACCCATCTTGGTAAATGGCTGCAAATCCCTTTAGGAAGCCTAGAATAATATATATTTAGTGACCCTAGAGGGTGATATAGATGAGAGTGGGTGAATAGGTCATAAAAAATGTACTCCAGAACTCCTATCTCCTTAAGTTGTTAGATTTTTTCCATCATATTATAAAAAGAGTTTCTAAAAACTTGATTTAATTTAGGCAACTGATGTATCCAACATTCATTTAAACATCCGACAATTCAAGTCACTTTTAGCTGCCTGTATCTCTTATTTGTTAACACTCTTATAGTACTTAACTATGTTCCAGATACTTCTCTAAACAGATACATATATAAATTAATTTAATCTTTGCAATAGTCTCATGGGGCCAATATAATTATTTTACTCATTTTATAGGCGTGAGAAATTAGGCAAAGAACAATTAATCATCTTGTCCAGGGTCACAAAGCTTGTTAGTGCTGGAGATGGACTTGAATCCAAAATTTTGTGTATGTGCATCTTTAACCATAAATTCACGTTCTCTAATATGTTCATTCTTCCCTTGTCAGAAGCCACAAAATTCATTCTTATACATATTCCCTAAGTTTGTGACTGTATAAATCAGGAAAACCTTGCAGCTATTTCTTTCTGATATGTGCACCATCTCCTTTCAAGTCAGATTTTGCATTTGTCCTCCTGAGGCTTGTTAGGATGTAAGTCTAGTTATGAGTTTGAAAGCCACAAGGGGTGGCAGCAACAGGGCATGAGGATAATCTACAAGTCCTTTGAAGTAATGGCCTAAGGTGATGTGACAGTTACTAAGGGATTGTCAGCTTCCAACCCACCCGTCTGTACTCATGATCCTGGTGCTGGGTCTCTGCAAATACATTGCTGGTTGGCCACCGGGCTCTGTACTAGGATCTACAATAAAGGGGCACTAGAAAGATACCGCAAGGCTAGAGGAAAGAGAAGCTTCTTTCTACTTCCAGTTTCCTCCACGTGAATTTACTGTTTGCTTCTTCTGGTTCCTGTAAAAGTAACCCCAGCAACGGTTCTCCACCCAGGAAGTGGAATTTTCTTCCAGTGGAATCACCTATATCCATTGTGTAATTTTTCCAACATTGGTATAACCAACTTTATTATGCACCCACTTTAACTCACCAGCCTTAGCAGGCCGACATCCCCTCTTCAAAGGTCTGGGTCCCAGCGTCTCAGGCTTCCTTCCTGTAAGTTTCTAAGTTTTAATAATGCCCACCATTCCCTTTGTTCCCTCAGACTTAGGGACAAAAGCTGTCTTCTGCAGCCCCAGCTTTATAATACCTCATAGTTCTCATTTTATCCTCTCAGTTACCTGGCTACTATTTTTCTACTTAGCGATTTTTTATATTAAATTTTCTGTCTGTTCAAGTAATTGGTATGATTTCTGTCTTTTTTCTGGACCCTGGCTGATGTAGGTAAGATCATTTCAGTGTCTTCAAGCAAGGCATGATTTTCTTTGACAGAATGGTAAAGAGCAGCTACTTCTATAGGCAAGGAAACATCAATGGGATATGGAGTTTGTAAGACTTATTTTTATTATAATTCACCCAAATATTTTCTTATGATTCTGAGAGGCTCAGTCTTTCCCAATCAGTGCCCCGACTTTCACACAAGAGACCTGGCAAGGTCAGGAATTCAAATTAGTGTGTAATTCTGTAACTCCTTGAATTGGTTTCTGTGTCTGATTTATTGTTATCTCAGGCAGTGGCTATGAGAGATAAGAGATTCTTTTAAAAGACTCAAATAAGACTAAACCTATTGGCACAGGTAAGTTTGAGAAGCAGAATAAAGTCAAGTGTTTACAGCCCTGAGCTATGATTTTCTCTCTTCATGCTACCCAGTTCAAGCAGAAGAAGGCCAGCTCACCTCAGTCTCTGTATTTCTCATTGCCATCATAGTGCTCATTTGCAGCAGCCACTTGAACTCTCAGTCCTACTCACTGATAAGAAACTACGTGCTACGAACAACTACATATCATGGGTCACCTACAATCCATTTTTCCCTGATGATGAGGTAATCACTTCTTTCAAACCAGGTCACATAATCCATCCAACATATCTAGTTTTAGGGCCTTTCCCTGGAACTTTTCCAGCTCTCTGTATTTTATTAAAGTTTCGTGTGAGAAATAAAAACTGCTTTAGATATTTCAAGTACAAAGTGACTTAATATCAATATTTTTATTCAAGATCTAGGAATTTATTTATGTCTACACATGGATGTCCTTTACTTAGGAACTCTAAAAAAGCATTAATATTATATAATTGCTAAATGATTTTTCCTACTGCTATTGGCCCAACATATGCATTATAAATTCCAACAACAGACAATTATTGTATCATGTTATAACTTAAAAACTCTTCACGTTTTCAGTTTTTATGTTTGCATGGTCTTGTCTTCTTTTTCTGGATATTTGTTTTCCATGGGGGTATATATATGGGTGAATCATTTCTTTGCCCTCTTCCATTTGATCATAGAACTTAAGGACATCATTCTGAAGTCAGACATAGATGGATATGAATAACATATATTAGCTGTGTGATACTAGAAAATTATTTACCCTTCTTGAGCACTGAAACTTCTCATTATAATGGCTATAATTGGTATCTATTTACAAGGTTGCTATGAAGATTAAGTAAGGCACTTTAGCATATTTTGGCATAAAAATGTGTTATTAAGATGAAACATTAGTTTTGTATGTTTTTTCAGATGCATTATCATATGCTGTTAAGCTTATTGCTTTGAATGTACTATCCTTCTGAGAAAAGGTAGGAAAGACAGGAAAGGGGGTTAGGCAAGTCTCACATCAGTGTTCCTGCTTTTCATCCTACCTCACTACCCTCATGAGAAGCCAGCTTTCCATTGGAGAGCTCCTGAGAGGCTGAAATCCTGTATGAGAAGATCCTCACTTGTCTCAGAGCCAGTCTGACCATGAGAGAAGAGATTAGATTGATTTGTGAGTGAATATTGGGGAAGAGGCTGGATTGATGAGCCTAAGACAGGGATCCTGGCTCCCCTTAGCCTACTGGAGAATGCAGAGGACCCAAAAGTTTCTTCATGTTCCTGTGGGAAACCAAAGATATGCTAGATTAATATACTTTAGCTGGAGCTGAGAATGAGGAGATTGCAGTGTACAGAGATTTTTATGAACAAAAGGAGAAAAGTTGAGAATTCATCATCAGATACCAGCTTAATGCTAATTGGTACCGGAAGCATCTCAAGATATATTAATTCAGGGACCACAAAAATGATGAGACCTGGTTGCATAAACAATCTGCTTGGGAAGGTAGAGTAAGGACTTACCTCTAAGAACATCAAGTCTTCTTTGGCCTCTCTGCCATCTTCCTTCTTCACCCTCCATAAGGTCTATTACAATTCCCACCCTAGAAATGCAGAGGTCATCTTGAGGGGCCATGTGGACAGGAAATTTAAATCTTAAATCCTGAGCATGTATCTTAAATCTTCAATGAATTAAGAGAGTATTTAAAACTAAAAGAAATTAAGAATATTAAATGGAAAGTTTGAGGTTTTTAAATCGAAATTTTATTTATTACTATGCAGTAGGTTGTTTATACAGGTCATTAGATCAGTTATAGAAAATTAAAGAAGTTATGCTTCTCTGTACAACTGAGTTGTAGTATACTCATATGTGAATCTGATATAATACCAGATATATTATTTCACTGAAATCAAAGGACTTTTTTTTACTGCCATTTGCATGAACTAAAAGCATGTGTAGGAAGACAATGTTTCTACAGAAGCAGAGAGAATAGGCCCCAAAGTACAGAGATGCACATATATAGTTTAAAGAATATATCACGTATATATCTTTTAAAATAACTACAAATATTCTATCTAGGAAATAAAACCAAATAGAACCAATCATGCATTTACTATAATAAATTGACTGAATCATTCCCTAGAGGCATAATATTTTGCAGGCATTTTCGAAAAATCCAAGTTTTCTAAGAGAAACCAGAATTCCCTTTTATTCAGTAACGTGTCATTGTACCCCCTCTACAACCTTCAGCTTTATTTTATTCATATTTGCTCTTTTTTGGGTCTTAAAATAGGCTTTGGTTAAGCCAGCTGTTCATAAAACAGGAGAGAAAAAAAAGCAAGCTCAGGAAAGCACAGTGTCTGGCTTAGATTTTGCATAGTTGCTATACTAATCAATATCACAGTAATTAAAATCATTCATGATTAATGGGCTGGCATTTTTATAGGGCATTGTTGTTTGCAAAAGCATTTCACAATCTATTTTGTCTAACTGCCCAGTAGGAGCGAGCCCCAAATCACCTGGCTACCTTTTGTCCTTTTTTTCCATCTGAACTACTCCTGTCTTTGGAATACCTTGCCATAGGATGCAATTGTGGATTTCCCCTCTTTCTGTGTGAGAAAATCCTTTTCTCTCACAGGCAAAGACTGCTGCTGGAATTTAAAGATTGCCACTTATTTTGCCAACTATTCATTGAATTTACCTTCTCTCTATACAAAAAAAACCCCTGAGATACCAGGACTTTGAGAGGCCAATGTATTACTTTGTGACCCTAAGGCTATACCTATTTGCATTATTTCTCTCTGGAAGACAGAGTAGTCAATACTATAATTCTTCTCTTATCGACTCTAGACTGAGACTCTAAATTTTGAGTTCTAATCCTGGCACTGAGATTAATGTAATCATGGAAAATTGACATTTTAACCACACACCAAAAAATAAGCTTAAGCATTAGGAAGGCAAGTCCCTTAAGGAGGTAGTAAGACAAGCCATTGCTTGCAGTTACTTAAATGAACCAAAATGCTTAAAGTAAATATTCCTTGGATACTAGATTGTGTTTTTGATATCCCCTTATCTTGCATTAATTTCAACAAGGATTTTTTGCACTTACAGCTGCTGAGAAAAATAAAAGACTGCACAAAAGCCTTTAAGGGCTTTTGAGGATTGACTTTCTATACTTCATCAGAAAACAGTTCATAAAGAATCTAAATTTGTAATCCTGGATACATTGCTTTTCATCAAGTATCAATGAGTAGTCAAATTGGTCAATGTTAATTTCATTCTTTGTCTGCCAATGATTTGCACATTTCCTTTCAGACCATACCCACTTCTTTCTACAGAAATCTTTAAAATATTCTTTAAGAAGACAACAGAAATCATGTGGAAGTGATATAGCCTTGAGAGTTTTATTAATATGATTCTTGATAATTTGCTACAGAATTTTTATAGCTTAACTACAGTACTACAAAATGTGATCTATTTAAAATCTGAATGAACCTACAATTCATTCATAAAGCATTTCAACAAGTATATGCAGAAACTCCACGTTAGAATCAGAGTGGTTAAACTCTCTCTGGCTGCACAAAAATCCAACAAAACCACCTCTTCAGGCAAAGCTTGTAAGGGAGCTCACTACCTTGACAGAGTCTTAGTAGTGAGAGGTGAAACCGGCTGGACTTCCTGGGTTGAGTGGGGACTTGGAGAACTTTTCTAACTAAAGGATGGTAAACACACCAATCAGCGCTCTGTGTCTAGCTAAAGGTTTGTAAACGCACCAATCAGCACTCTGTAAAAACGGGCCGATCAGCATTCTGTAAAATGGACCAATCAGTGCTCTGTAAAATGGACCAATCAGCAGGATGTGGGCGGGGCCAAATAAGGGAATAAAAGCTGTCCACCTGAGCCAGCAGCGGCAACCTGCTTGGGTTCCCTTCCATGCTGTGGAAGCTTTGCTTTTTCGCTTTTCACAATAAATCTTGCTGCTGTTTGTTCTTTGGGTCCATACTACCTTTATGAGCTGTAACACTCACTGCGAAGGTCTGCGGCTTCACTCCTGAAGTCAGCAAGACCATGAACCCACCGGGAGGAACAAACCACTCTGGAGGCGCCACCTTTAAGAGCTGTAACACTCACTGAGAAGGTGTGCGGCTTCACTCCTGAAGTCAGCAAGACCACAGACCCACCAGAAGGAAGACACTCCGGACACACCTGAACATCTGAAGGAACAAACTCCAGACACGCCATCTTTAAGAACTGTAGCACTCACTGCAAGAGTCCATGGCTTCGTTCTTGAAGTCAGCTAGAACAAGAACCCACCGGAAGGAACCAATTGCAGACACAGTAGCATCTGTAAGTAGAAAGAGCAGAAGCAGAAGAGATTTAAGGTTTTAGAGCCTGGTTTTAGGTGGATCTTTTGAAGCAAGGGCTTCATTAAGGTAAGGTCCATGATTTAATAGTTGAGGATTGACAGACACAGTAAGGTAAGAATTTTAAGTTGAGAATATAAAAATCTTGCAATCCTAGGTGGCAAACAGTTCTTTGACATTGTCTGTTTAGAAGTTGAATAATTTGATGTTCATTAAATGATTTCATGGGAACTTCCTAAAATGAACAATAAAGTTATTTACAGTTTTATTTTCCTGGGCAAGAATTCTCTGGAATAGAAAAAATATGCTAGTGAGAGTAGTTAAGTTGTTAAATCATATCACTTTGACTGTAAGCTACATGGTTATAGAGGCCAAAAAAGAAAAACAAAATTATGCATATACATAATGTAGAAAACAGAATAAACTATTAAAAATAAAGAGTAAGAAATAGAACAATTGGATTTTTAAATAGTGTAAAGGACATTATAGCTTCTATGTAGAAATTTGAAGTGCTTTCAATCAATCTTTACTTGTAACACTTTCTTGATGAAGCTAGAAAAGTAAACATTTAAACTCCATTTAGCCTCATTGTACATCTTGAATTATGTCTACATTTCCATTCTATTAAAACATATTTTAGGCACCACTTTCAACACAGCTTCTTAGCCTCTGGTTCCCGTGCTGCTTATGAATTTAAAATGTGGGAAATCTGTGGGAAATGTGGCATAAAATATGGGGCCTACTTCAATGCATTTGCCTTCTCTCTGGGATCCTGGAGAAGCAAATAGTAATCAACTCTCAAAATAGGTTTTTCTATCTCCTGGTCTCACTAACCTGATCTGCATGAAAGCCAAAGACATTGTCTAATCATTTAGTGCAATATCCCCAGATCCTAGTAGAGTGTCCAGCTTATGGACAGTGGCCATTAAACATTTGTTGAATGAATGAATCCACTATTCTGTCTAACTTCTGCTTTCTAATTCCAGAAATAGGGCCTGGAGTTTCTTTCACTTTTTTCTACTCTTTTTATGTATTTTATGTTACTTGTGATGCAGCAAATCGATTGAGAACAAATCAATGCATTTTATTAATTGGGCAACTGTGGCTGATTCAGGGATAAACATAGGGTCTGATTTGGGCATGTGGTATCCCCAAAATCTTGGTTCTAAGTTGCTCTTTTTTTTGTTTTTCACGTGGTGAGACTGCAGGATGGTAGGCAGGATCTGCTACTGTGATCATGCCGCTCTGAAGGGAAACACCCTTCTGAAAATGAAGGCAACCCATGGAAGAGCACAGCTAGCTGATCAATACACCTGAATGCTGTTTTGTTAGACTCTGAATCTAAGCCATGCCCGAAAGACTTTTCAATTATGCAATCCAATATATTCATTGAATGCTTAAGCCAGTTTTGATGGAATATTTATGAGGATAAAATTAAATAATATAAATAAGAATACCTTAACAAATACATAATAAAAATTAGAGGGCACAATAAATACATGTCTTTTAAAAATTTCTTGCTTCATGCCTTCTTTCATTATACTTCTAGAACACTGATATTTTTTAATATTAACTGACAGCATTGAAATTATTACACTAGATGACATAACATTTTGTATCTATAGGGAATTATTTAAGGGCAACTTGAAATCCATTTTCCCCAAATCTCTTACTTACCAATAAAGAAACTGAAGATCCGAAAATAACTTGATAATAGACATAAAAATAGTTAAGAATGACCTAGAAATTGCATCTCAGTCTTTTACCTCGTTAACTGCAGGCCCTTTTTACCATATCACACCAGTTCTCAGTTTCCTATGTTTTGCATTTCACATGTTTTGGCACATATAGTGATACATTTTGATAAAATGTTATGTGTTTTCCAGAGCCTTTTTAAACAATCGTCTCCCAAATCCTCACCATGGACAAATATTTAAGTATAATCTCATTTTCTAATAACCTATCACCAATGATTTATTAATCATCTATTGCGAGGCCTATACTGTGTCCGTCCTGGATGATGAATGTAAAATATTCCACATTAAACTATGGAGGTGATACTTATAGGAAACCTAACAAATAACAACAACAGCAACAATAATAATAAAAAAATACATTATGAGGTAAGTCTTTGGGCAGTTGTAATCATAATACTTTTTGCCTCCAAGCCTTTTGAGTTCCCACCTTAAAATGCCTGGTAAACTGATGTGACGATACTGGTACAAGGTAATCCCAGCTTCTTTATTCACAGTGGATTGAACTGATAGTGTGCGAGCTGGGCCAACCATATTCCCTGTCTTTCAGGAGATCAAGCTCAGAGACACTAAGAGACTGAAGCATTTAAACATAAGGAACTGATCTCCAAAGTCATGTGTTATTGAGGAGGGACAAATTAGATGAGGAGAGTTTGTCTTTCTTATTGCTCACAGCATTGACATATCCACTTTTCAATGAGACTTTGTCTTCGGATCTTAGCTGGGCATTCAAACAGCTATAATACCCTTTGATTTAAAATTTGCGACATATGAACTGAACTAAGGAGTCTTTTCCTTTGTGATTCACTAAACCAAAAGTTTTGGTTTGTTCCCTATTTGATTGATGAGAAAATTATTACACTTTGCTCAATGGAGGACTTGGAAGTACACAGTTTGTATATAAACAGGTTTGTTGGGGAGCAGGACTTTATATCCCATAGTAAGAAGGTTCAGATTTAGAACCAATACTGTTAATACATTTATTAATATAAAAATGCTTCATACTGTCACATAAAAGTATTGATTTTAGATTATATTGTGTGTTTTTAATGGGCTGAATGCACTCATTTTCATCTGGAAAGCAATGAAATGTTGCTTTCATTTTCAGAACACTAAGGGATAAAAATGGACCCACAAGATATGCAGGGAAAATCTTTGTATTAGATGTTGAACCTTTGAGAAGAGGATGCAGAAAACACTGTTTGCCACTTAAAAGTTCCTCTAAGCAAGAAAATAGTTCTTTACTTAGTCTAAATCCACTGATTCGTCAAAATTGAGCAAAATACTGTCAGTGGTCAGTGAGGTTTGCCTGTGCAGTTGAAAAGATAGAAAGTAGGCTCTGGCAGTCGTTATGCCTCAACAAAAGAGATTAAAATATTCCAAAGGTGGCTATCAAGCTAAGGGCTCATGTAAACCAAAGTTATGGGAGAGTAAAATAGCAATATACAGGCAGAAGTATCAGACCTGAAAAGAGAAGTATGAGTATTCTGACATCAACTGGTGTACTGCAATTCAGTGCTGGCTCTAACCTACTGGAGTTACTGCAGACCCCGTGAGTTAAGGGCTCAGTTCACAAGATGACTCTCACTTCAGATACCTGCTGCACTTCAGGTATCCCCAGACAACCAATACTTCCGACCAACTGGCTACAAATTTGGAGGTTCCCACTAACAACTGCCTCATGTTCAATAATTTACTAGAATGACTCACAGGACTCAGAAAAGCACTAAATTTGTGGTGGCATTTTTATTATAAAGGATTCAAGTCAGGACCAGCCAAATGAGGAGACACACAAGGCAAGGTCTGAGAGGGTTCAGAATACAGAGCTTCAGTGTCTTTTCCCCGTGGAATAAGGGTTCATTACCCTCCCAGCATATCATGTCTTCCCTAACCAGGAAGCTCTACTGAGCTCAGTGTCTAGAGTTTTTGGTGGAGCTTCATTATGTAGGCATTATTGATTGAATCCTTGACCATGTGATTCAACTCACCCTTTAGCCCTTCTATTCTCCCAGCAGTTGAGAGGTTAGGCTGATACCAAGTAGCTAGAAGCTGTAACCCTCTAATCACGTGATTCATCTTTCTGGCCCTATCCTGAGTCATCTCCTCAGCACAGACTCAGGTATGATCTAAGGACTAACCGTGAACAACAAAGATACTCATATTATCTGGGAAATTCCAAGAATTTAGAGGTTATCTCCCAGGAACTAGGGACAAATATCAGACATATGCTTTATTATACAATAAAGAGACTGAATAGATTTTCAAAGATAAGCAGAGAAGATTTCAAAGAAAAGCAAGGAAAGGAAGGGGTAGTCTGAATACTTAACCTTGGGTTTGAATCCTTTATAAAGTTTTCTTTATTTTGGGGCATTATACAAGGTAAAACAACTTGTACTTTCATTGGTTTCCATTCTGTTAACCAAATCATCTTTCTTATTTAATAGAAACTCATGAAAACAAACCAAAAAAGCAAGACTGAGCTAATCCTCAAATAATTTATAGGGCTTTGATTGGTACTGAAGAGTCCTAGTAATATTCCAGATGGAAGAAAAAAAGCATGAGGAAACATAATAAGATTCAGCATACATGAAATGTGTGAGTGTCTATGATTACTTTTATGGTAATAGCGTCTCTTTGGAGTTCTGTAGATACTTAAAAACAATAAAAAGAACAACTAGTCTGGCTCAGGAAATTTAGGAGATTTCATGAAGCTCTTTTGGATACTATGGGAACTGGAGCTGTTGATGTCTCCATACTAGCTCCAACGTAAGATAGTAAGGCCAAAGGTTAAGCGTTCTTCTAAGGTAAGCTTTCAAAATATTTTCCTAAACTGAACTGCATTGTAACATGGTAACATCTTACATTTTCTGATCACAATTATAGAAATCATTATTGGAAAAAATGGGAGAATTAGGCTTGTCCTTTAAAATTTTTATCTTTAACTTTCAAACGTTTGTCCTGGAACACCCCGTCCTTTTGAACACCTGTCTTCTTGTGACATTTAGCTCAACTGCTTGACACTCAAGTAATTTCCTGTCCATACAACCATAGAACATCAATATTTCAGTTGAATATGTAAGTTATATTGATCCTCCACAGCAGTGACAAAAAGTAAGGTAAAGATTCTTGACAAATGACATATCTAGTTATTCCTGGTCACTCTATTCAAAAGATAAGAAATAGTAAAATGACATGATAACACTGTAACTTAAGAGCACAATAGTGAACTAATTTGACGTTAGATTCCTAAGTAGAGGATCCAGAATATTCCTCCACTATACTTGAAGCTGTCTCGTTAGAATTTGGTAACTACATTTAGCACATAGGCTTGAGTAGAACAGTGGGAAGAACTCATTTCAGGGAATATTAAAAAATACAGATGAAAATATTGGATAGAACAAACCGTTAAGGACTTCAAAAGCAAACTAGATGACTTAAACTTGGTATGATTCATATTTTAAATATTTTTCCCCTGGAGTGACTAAAGAGAGCAATTTAAGATCAATCTGGAAAGAATATATAGGAAAAATTAGAAGGGAAGACAGGATAGCAAGTTAAATGGTTGTGGGAAGTTGATGAAAATTGTGAAAATGTATTCAAAGAAGACACAGGAAATGATGTTCAGAGCATAAGAAAAGGAGGTGATTTTAATGAAGGATATCTTTTTCTCTGAGTAGTAATTATTATAATTATTAGTAACAGTTATTTCCCCATAAATCTAGCTTCGTCTGGATACTTCAGCCTGCTGAGACTCCTCTGGTTCTTTATTGCTTCTTCTCAAGGAAAAATAATTTATGCAGTAGCTAAAAGCCTTTTTCAGCATGTCCAGGTTATAAGGCAAGTATATGCAGTCTGTGGAGGCAGTTAGGCATGATAAACATATTCCAATACATTTTTCTTCAATCCTCTGCCTAACGAGATGACAATCTTGTTTTCCTTCTGTACCTCTCCTTTTTGCTCTCCATTTTCTTTTGGGAGAAACTCAGGGTTGAGTTTGAATTTCAAAGTTGTTTGCATTATATTCTTTAAGACACACATGATAACATAGATGCACCAAAAAGGGAAAGCCAGATTATTATTTACTCGACGACCCCAAGAGTTTTTATGGACACTTTTCAATGTAGTATGACTGCCCAAATAAGTTTTTGAATTATTATTATAATTGTTAAGAGAAGAACTAATCCAAATGGCTACAATTTTGAGTCCAAGGGAGGTCAACTATTGCAACTCGCTTTGCAAATATGGTATAATAAGAAAAGCAGTTCATTCTCTAAATTTATTTTGACCATTTCCCTCTCTGTTAATTATTATACTTTCTACATCTTTGTCCATAATGTTAGAATGTCGTTATGTTCTAATTGACACTCTTCTTGGATGCTATCTGAAATTTTTAGAAATCAATTACATAATTCTGTTATAAGTATATATGAAAGCATAATAATTAGACCAGTAAATAGAACTTGAGATTCCATTTTAGATTTACAAAGTAACATGCATCTACTTAGTGATATATAGCATTTTGGTAGCTCTTATATTATTATACTAGTCCCATACTTTTCCCAACACTCTTCTCCCCTATGTGTACATGTGTATGTGTTGAATGGGAATATGTGTGTGTGTTTGAGTCTTTCTAGGGTGCCCTTGGAATGTAACTGGAAAATGTGGGATATTTAATCATGAAACATAAGCATGTCCCCACTTCATTAACTAAAGATTAATTTGCCTATACTAATAGTCCTTGGTTGGGTTGTATCATAACCTAGAGATATTTTGGAAATTTCAGGGAAGCAGGTTGGAAATTTCTGATGAGAGAATTTTGTGTGTCCTAATGATTGGGAGACGTTGTTACTGGCATTAGTGTTTGAGTCAGGAGAATCATTAATGTTGACAGAATCACAAAATTAAGAATATTATAAAGTTGCTCACAACTTTCAAATATCCCTCTAGATATTCTAAAGGTGAAAGCCTTGTTTATCATTCAGTCCTAGAACCTGACTCTGGTTTAGTGACAAGCACCTTTTTTTACATAGTTTTAATGTAGACTGAATTTTTGAAAATGTAATTACTGTGGCATTTGAAGAAACAGTGCCTGTTTTAATTCAGAATTTTCACAAGATTTATCGGTTTTAGAAGAATTATGTTAACGAAAGGAGCAATGGTTATGGGATTTGAAACTCCACATAATTGTCCTGTGTTCCCCTACATTCATAGTAATTCATAATTATGGATGTTGTCACATTCACAATAATTCTGTGAATGGGTTCAAATGTCTGAATATTTTATTTGTTGATTTATATACTGAATGTATTATTTAATGAAAATTTTTTTCCCACAGTGGATGCTGCACTGCTCATCTTCCCCTTAATAGCCTATACCCCTATACCCCCACACCCTAGCTGCTATGGAAGTTGACTGCTAACCATTTAAAAAATCATTTCAGGAGATGGAGCAAAGTGGCCTATCCTGTGCAAAAATACCATATTTTAACAACTAGTTACACACAGAAAGCATCATCAATAGAACCAAAAATCAGGTGAGCACTCACAGTACCTTGCTTAAACTTCATAATGCTAAAAGAGGCACTGAAAAGGGGTAGAAGAGACTATCTTGAATCACAAAAGTCAACCTTCCCCTATCCCCCAGCAGCAGCCACTGGGCACAGAGAACGTGTGCACATGGGACAGGAAAAGCACAGATACTAGGGGACTTTAACTCAGTGCTGCCCTGTCACAGCAGAAAGCAGAACCAGTTGTACCCAGCTGATGCCCACCCATAGAGGGAGCATTTGAACCTGCCCTAGCCAGAAGAGAATTGCCCATCCCAGCAGTCAGACCCTGAGTTCTGGCAAGTCTTGCAACCACAGGCTAATGTACTCTGAGGCCCTAAGGAACTTGAATAACAGTCTAGGCCACAAGGAATGCAATTCCTAGGCAAGTGCTAGTGCTGAAGTGGGTTCAGAGCCAGTGGACTGGGGGTGGCCCATGACCTACTGAGATACCAGATGAGGCAGCTAAGGAAGTGCTTATGTCACTTTGTCCCCATAGCCCAGCGGTGGCCACATGGCATGGAGAAATCTGCTTGGGAGAGGGAGAGCACAGAGATTGTGAGACTTTAAATTGAACTCAGTGCTGCCCTGTTATAGTGGAGAGCAAAGCGATGCTGGGCTCAGCCAGCACGTGCACTCAGAGAGAACATTTGCACCAGACCTATCCAGAGGGGAATCACCCATCACACATCCAAGTGGCTGGAAGTTGAGTTGCAATCAGTTGGCAGTCCTCACCAACACAAGGTAAAGTGCTCTAGAGTTCTAGGTAAACTCAAAAGGCAGTCTAGGACACAAGGACTGTAATTCTTAGTTAATTCCTAGTGGTGGACTGGACTTAGAGATCATGGACCATGGTGGCACATGACTTACAGAGATATCACCTGGCATGTGTAAAGGCAAGTTTGTGCCATCTCTTTCCCAGCCCCAGGCAGTACAGCTTGCAGTAATAAAAATGACTCATTCCTTCTGCTTAAGGAGAGCAGAGTGAAGAGTAAAGAGGACTCCATTTTGTGTTTTGGATACAAGCTCAGCTACAGTATGTTAGGGAACCAGGCAGAGTCATAAAGCCTCCCTTGCCAGGCCCTAGCTCATGGATGACATTTCTAGACAAACCCTTGTCCAAAAGGGAACTCATTGCCTTAAAGGGAAGGACCCAGTCCTGGCAGTATTCATCACCTGCTGACTAAAGAGCCCTTGGGCTTTGAATAACCAACAATAATACTCAGGTAATATGCTATGGGCCTTGGGCTCTGAGATATGCTGGCTTCAGATGTGACCCAGCATATTCCCAGATGTGGTGGCTATGGTGAAAGACTCCTTCTGTTTGAGAAAAGCAGGGAGAAAAGTAAAGGGGACTCTTCCTTGCACCTTATGTGCTAGCTGGGCCACAGCACCAAGGAGGATCTTGGGGTCTCTGAGTCCAGGAATAGGCTCTTGTTCAGGATTTCTGGACATTCCCTGGGACATAGCATAACCCACTTCCCAGAAGAGTGAGTCCCAGGCCTGGCAGCATTCACCACAAGCTGACTGAAGGACCCGTGGACTTTAAGTCAACATTGGTGATGGCCTGGAAGAACCCCTCATAGACTGGTGGTGGTGATGGCCAAAGGGGTAGCCTCTTTTGCCTGTAGAAGGGAGAGGGAAGAGTCAGAAGGACTTTGTCTTGTGGTTTGATTGCCAGCTTAGCCACAGTAGAATAGAATATTAGGTAAATTTCTAAAGGTTTTGACTCTAATACCTGGCTCCTGAACAGCATCTCTGAACCTGCCTGGGGTCTGGGGTAACTCACCTGGCTGGCTTCACCGCCTGCTGATCAGAGAGCCCCAGAGCCTTGAGTGAACATAGGTGGTAGACAGGTACTGGTTACAGTGGGCCTTGGGTGAGACCCAGTGCTCTGCTGGCTTCAGGTGTAACTCAGTGCAGTCTCAGTGCTGGTGGCCACAAGGATGATCATGTCCCCTTACTCCCAGGTCCAGGTAGCACAGCACAGAGAGATTCTGTTTGTTTGGGAGAAAGTAAGAGATAAGAACAAGAGTCTCTGCCTGGCAGTCTAGAAAATTCTTCCAGATCGTATCTAAGACCACCAAGTTAGTATCTCTACAAGTCTGCCAGAATCACAGCATTTTGAGTTTGGGGCCCAATTCCCCTTTAATCCTTGGGAAGCCTTCCCAAGAAGGATGGGCACAAACAAGTCCAGGCTGCAAAAGCTACAATAAAGCCTACCTCTTCAATGGTTAGACATTAATGAACAGCCACAAGCATCAATATTATCCAGGAAAACATAACCTCACCAAATGAACTGAATAAGTCTCCAGGGACTAATCCTGGAGAAACAGCAATATGTGACCTTTAAGGCAGATAATTCAAATTAGCTTTGCTGAGGAAATTCAAAGAAATTAAAGAGATCACAGAGAAATAATTCAGAATTCTATCAGATAAATTTAACAAAGAGATTGAAATTATTGGAAACAAGCAGAAATTCTAGAGTTTAAAAATGCAATTGACATATTAAAGGATGTATGAGTCTCTTACTAGCAGAATTGATCAAGTAGAAGAAAGAATTAGTGAGCTTCAAGACACGCTATTTGAAAATACACAGTCACAGGAACCAAAGGAAAAAAGAATAAAAAGAATGAATCATGCATACGAGATTTAGAAAATAGCCTCAAAAGGACAAATCTAGGAGTTATTGGCCTTAAAGAGAAGTAGAGTGAGAAATTGAGGTAGAAAGTTTATTCACAGATATAACATCAAAGAACTTTCCAAACCCAGAGAAAGATATCCATATGCAAGTACAAGTAGGTTACAGAACACCAAGCAGATTTAATCCAAAGAATACTACCTTAGGCATTTAATAATCAAACTCCCAAAAGTCAAAAATAAAGAATCCTAAAAGCAAAAAGGGAAAAAAAGCAAATAACATTCAATGGAGCTGCAATATATCTGGCAGCAGACTTTTCAGTGGAAACATTGCAGACCCAAGAGAGAGTGGCATGACATATTTAAAATGCTTAAGGAAAAATAAACACCTTTTTACTGTAGAATAATATATCTGGCAAAAAATATCCTTCAAGTATGAAGGAGAAATAAATACTTTCCCAGACAAACAAAAGCTGAGGGATTTCAATAACACCAGACCTCTCCTACAAAAAATGCTAAAGGGAGTCCTTCAGTCTTAAAGAAAAGGACATTAATGAATAATAAGAGATCATCTGAAGGTATACAATTCACTGGTAATGCCACGTAGAAAAACACAGACTATTATAACACTGTAACTGCAGTGTATAAACTACTGTTATTTTAAGTAGAAAGATTAAATGATGATCTAATCAAAAATAATAACTGCAACAACTTTTCAAAACACAGACAATAGACTAAGACATAAAGAGAAATAAAAAAAGTTGAAAAGTAGGGGATGAAGTTAAAGGGTAGAGTTTTTATTTTCTTTTTGATGTTTGCTTATGCAATCAGTGTTAAGATGTCGTCAGTTTTAAATAATAGGTTATAAGACAGTATTTGGAAACGTCATGGTAACTGCAAATTGAAAAACATACAATAAATACACAAAAAAAATAAACAAGAAATTAAATTATACCAACAGAAAAAAAATCACCTTCACCAAAAAGAAGACAGAAAGGAAGAAGGAAGAGAAGACCACAATACAATAAAAAAAAATTATCAAGAGTAAGTTCTTATTTATCAATAGTAACATTGAATGTAAATAGACTAAACTCTCAAATCAAAAGACATAGAATGGCTGAATGAATAAAAAAGCAAGACCCAATGATCCGTTGCTTGCAAGAAACACATTTCACCTATTATAAAGACACACATAGACTGAAAATAAAGGGATGAAAAAAGATATTCCATGCCAATGAAAACCATAAACAGGGCAGCACTAGCTATTCTTATATCATACAAACTAGATTTCAAATTTAAAACTGTAAGAAGAGACAAAGAAAGGCATTATATAGTGATAAAGGGATCAATTCAGCAAGAGCATATAACAATTCTGAAGATGCATGAACATGACATTGGAGCACCCAGATATATAAAGTAAATATTATTAGGGCTAAAGCAAGAAATAGACCGCAATATGATAATAGCTGGAGATTCAACACCCCACTTTCAGCACTGGACAGATCTTCCAGACAAAATATCTACACAGAAACATTGGACTAATTTGGCACTATAGAACAAATGAACCTAATGAATATTTACAGAACATTTTATCCCACAGCCGCAGAATACACATTTTTCTCCTCAGCACATGGATCATTCTCAAGGATATGCCATATGTTAGGTCACAAAACAAGTTTTATGAACATTTAAACAATTGAAATAATATCAAGCATCTTCTCTGACCACAGTGGAATAAAACTAGACATGAATAACAAGGAATTTTGGAAACTATACAAACACATGGAAATTAAACATATGGTCCTGAATGATAAGTGAGTCAATGAAGAAATTAAGAAGGAAATTGAAAAATTATTGAAACAAAAGAAAATGAAAATACGACATACCAGAACCTATGGGATACTGCAAAAGCAATACTAAGAGGGACATTTATAGCTATAACTGCCTACATCAAAAAATAAGAAAAACATCAAATAAATAACTTAACCAATCATTTAAAAAAATAGAAAAGCAAGAGAAAACTAAACCCCAAATTATGAGAGGCAAAATAAATAAATAAGTAAATAAAGAATCAGGGCAGAAATAAATTAATCTGAAATGAAGAAAATAATACAAAAAATCAACAAAATGAAAAGTTAGTTTTTTGAGAAAAAAATTGGCAAACTTTTAGGCAGACAAAAAAAAGTAAAAGACCCAAATAAAGAAATTGGAGATTAAAAAAAACATTATAATTGATACTGCAGAAATTCAAATGATTATTAGTGGCTGCTATGATTAACTGTATGCCAACAAATGATAAATGAGAAAATCTGGTGAAAATGAATAAATTCCCAGACACATACAATCTACCAAGATTGAAGGAAGAAATCCGAACCTAAACAGATCAATAACAAGTAATGAGATTGAAGCTCTAATAAAAATTCTCCCAGTTAAGAAAAGCCCAGGGCGCATTGGCTTCACTGATGAATTCTACCAAACATTTAAAGAAGAAGTACTACCAATCCTACTCAAACTATTCCAAAAAATAGAGGAGGAGGTAACACTTCCAAACTCATTCTTAGAAGCCAGTATTACCTTGATACCAAAACCAGAAAAGGACACATCAAAAAAAGAAAACTGCAGGCCAATATCTCTGATTAATATTGATGCAAAAATTATCAGCCAAATACTAGCAACCCAAATTCAACAATATATCTAAAAAATCATTTATAATGACCAAGTGAGATGTATCTCAGGGATGCAAGGTTGGTTCAACATTTGCATATCAATCAAGGTGATACATCATATCAAGAGAATAAAAGAAAAAACCCATATGATCATTTTATTTGATGCTGAAAAAGGATTTGTTAAAAATTCAACAACCTTTCGTAGATAAAAATCCTCAAAATACTGGGTACAGAAAGAACGTACCTCAACATAATAAAAGCTGTATATGACAGACACACAGGTAATATAATACTGAATTGGGAAAAACTGAAAGCCTTTCCTGTAAAATCTGGAATGTGAAAAAGATGCTCACTTTCACCACTGTTATTCAATATATTACTGGAAATCCTAGTGGGACCAATCAGCCAAGAGAAATAAATAAAGGGCATACAAACTACAAAGGAAGAAGTCAAATTATCCTTGTTTGTAGATTGCTTGATCTTATATTTGTTATAACCTGAAGACTCCACTGAAAATCTATTAGAACTGATAGACAAATTTAGTAAAGTTGCACAGTACAAGATCAACATACAAAATCTATAGCATTTCTGTGTGTCAACAGTGAACAATCTGAAAAAGAAATCAAACAAGTAATCCCATTTACAGTAGGCAAAAATACAATTAAATACTTTGGAATTAAATTAACAAAAGAAGTAAAAGATTTTTACATTGAAAACTGTAAAACACTGATGAAAGAAATGGAAATGAACCACAAAGAAGAAAAAATATTTCAGGTTCATGGATTGGAAGAATCAATATGGTTTAAACGTCTGTACTACCCAAAACTATCTATAGATTCAGTATAATCCCTATCAAAAAACCAATGACATTCTTCACAGAAATAGAAAAAAACAGTTGTAAAATTTATACAGAACCACAAAAAACCCAGAGTGGGAAAAGCTATCCTGAGCAAAAAGGATAAACCTGAAGGAATCACTCTACCTCACTTCAAATTATACTACAGAGTGATAGTAACCAAAACAGCATGGTACTGACATAAAAACACACATAGTCTAATGGAACAGAAGAGAGAACACAGAAAAAAATTCAAACACCTATAGTGAACTAATTTTTGACAAAGATGCCAAGAGCATACATTGAGGAAAGAACAGTCCCCTCAATAAGTGGAGCTGGGAAAACTGTATATCCATATGTACAAGAATGAAACTAGACCCCTAGGTCTCACCATATAAAAAAATCAAAACAAAGTGAATTAAAGACTTAAATCTATTACCCCAACTATGAAACTACTGCAAGGAAACACTGAGGAAACTTTCCAGGACATTGGTCTGGGCAAAAATTTCTTGAGTAACACCCCACAAGCACAGGCAACCAAAGCAAACATGGACAAAGGGGATCACATCAAGTTAAAAAGCTTCTGCACAGCAAAAGAAACAACCAACAAAGTGAAGAGACAACCCACAGAATGGAAGAGAATATTTGCAAACTACTTTTCTGAAAAGTGATTAATCACCACAGTATAAAAGGAACTCAAACAATTGTATACGAAAAAAAAATCCAATAATCCAATAAAAATGGACAAAAGGTTTGAATAGACATTTTCTTGACAGAAGACATACAAATGGCAAACAAGCATATGAAAAGGCACTTTTCATAAATAATCATCAGAGAAATGAAAATTAAAACTAGAATGATACATCATCTCACTTCAGATAAAATGGCTTTTATCCAAAACGCAGGCAATAAGAAATGCTGCTGAGAATGTGGAGAAAAGGGAACCCCCGTACATTGTTGGTGGGAATGTAAATTGGTACAATCACTTTGGAGAATGGTTTGGTTTCCTCAAAAAACTGAAAATAGCGCTACTATATGATCCGGCTATCCCACTGCTGGGTATATACACAGAAAAGAGAAAAGAAATTGGAAGAAAAGAGAAAAGAAGAAAAGAAAAGAAAGAGAAAAGAAGAAAAGAAAAGAAAGAGAAAAGATGAAAATCAGTATATCAAAGAGATATCTGCAATCCCATGTTTGTTGCAGCACTGTTCACAATTTGTAAGATATGGACACAACTTAAGTGTCCTTCAGCAGATGATTGGATAAAGAAAACGTGGTACGTACATACAAGAGAGTATTATGTGGCCGTAAAAAGTATGTGATCCTGTGATTTGTGACAACATTGATGGAACTGGAGGTCATTATGTTAAGTGAAATAAATCAGGCACAGAAAAATATCACATATTCCCACTTATTTGTAGGAGGTAAAAGTCAAAACAATTAAACTCTCAGAGATAGGGTAGAAGGATGGTTACCAGAGGCTGAGAAGGGCAGTGGAGTGCATGTAGGGGGAAAGTGGTGATGGTTAATGGGTAAAAAATAAAAATAGAAGAAATGAATAAGACCTAGTATTTGATAGCACAACAGGGTGACTATATTTTATAATAATTTAATTGTGCTTTTTAAAATAAGTAAAAGAATATAATTGGAGTGTTTGTAACATGAAGGATAATGATTAGGGGATGGATACCCCGTTTTCCATTGTGGAATATTACAACTTGCATGCCTGTATCAGGGTATCTCATATACTCCATTAATATATACACCTAGTATGTACCCAAAAAATTTTAAAAATATATTCCCTTAAATGAATTGCCTTTGGCTGAAATGGGACCTCCCTCTGCCCATCAGAGAAAGTCCTCAGCCAATGACTGGCTGCCATTAAGGTTAAAACACCCAGCCTTTTGCCTTAAAGTATGACCAATCCTTCAGTTACGGTCTGACAGCAATATCTAATGTGGTAGTCACTAGCCACATGTGGTTATTAAATTTATATTTAAACTAATTAAAATTAAAATTGTAGTTCTCATTCTCACTAGCTACATGACCTGGGCTCAAGGGCCATGCGTGGCAGTGGTTAGAGTATTCAACAGTGCAGGCATAGCATATTTCCAACATTACCAGAAGTTCTACTGGATAGCATTACTCCAGAACACTGCTCCCTAATAAAAATATAGGTCATATCTGAAATTTTCAATTTCAATTGTCAAATTGACAACTAAATTTTCACTGGAAACATTTGATCTGGATTTCGATTTTATAAAACTTACAATTGAAAAAGTAGGCTCATGAATTCAGGTTTCTCCAAAGATATGTAAACATTTTTCAATCACTGAATAAAGCAAATTTTAAATTTTACTTAAAATAAAATAGTTCAATTCTTAAGTCACCTTAGCCACATTCAGATGCACAGCAGGCACAAACATCTAGTGGCTACTGTATTGGATGATGCAGTTCTAGAGCACTTTGTAGTATGGGGCTGAGGCTGTTTTCCAGCTGAGAGGTGCACATCCCTATGCAGCTCCTACTTCTCTCCTTTCCTGCATCCCCCTCTCCCTTTCTCCTGAAAGCACGCCCTCAGTAAATTACATATGCCCAAGTCCCTGTGCCAGACTCTGCTTCTAGGGAACCTGACCTAAGACATTAATTGTTTATTTATCTCTTCTATTAAAGTTAATGCATTACATTTATTTTATATATATCTGCATTTTATAGCAGCTATACATTTCATTTCAAGAAGGAAAGGAGAGATTTTAAAATATTTTTATTTTCTTAAAAGAAGGCATTAACCTGAAGGTCTGAGAGCCACTTTGCTACAAACATAAGTGTGAGTTTATATGTTTACATTTTTATTTTGATGTATTTTATCTTCAGAGCATATCAATCAGGACATTTTTGATATTCAGTAAATATAAATATTATTACTATATAAAATATATAATTGCTAGCAATAGTACTTTGCAATGGTCCGAGTCATTAAATGCGGAATAGCGCTGCTGACCATCATTGAGCAATTGGACCACAGATTAATTCAATAAAAAATCAGGAGTCAGCATTGTTTTAATCTCCCTCCATTAACAAGCTCCGAGAATCAAATTGTGGCAATAGTTTGTGTGGCATTTCATATGTATATGACTGAAAAGGGGATATTTTTCATTGTTGGTAATTATACCTATCACAAAACGCCTATGAACAGAAGAGAAAAATAAAAGGGCATATAGATACTTTGAAGAAGATTATGAGAAAACATAAAGCTGGGCCATATGGGAAAAAGGTGGAATCACCTTTAACTTGCACCAGAACAGCCCTAGCATTCGAGGGGATCTGTCTGTTACTTCTCCAATGCTTTTGTTTAAGATCATTTTCTTGTATTCTCACGTATCATAAGTAAAAATATGGGCACAGTAGAGTGAACAAAAGTTTTGAAAACAGTTAATTATCTAAACTTTTTTAACCTGACCCTTATATTTAAAAGGAGATAATAATAGCTGTTATACTGGGTTGTTGTGTGTGAATTAAATGTGACAGTTTATATTAAATTATATCTACACTGTTATCTACATAGTTCACTAGAGGAATAATGTGAGCAAAGTGAGTACTTGGGCTTTCAGGATAATAGGCTCTACCAACAAGGCTAAAGACTGTAATAATCTGGCAAAATTTCTGAAATCTTTGCAACTTTCTGTAAGTCTCAGAGAGTGGAACATCTTGAGAAATAAAATAGGTTGACATGGCTTTTAAAAAGAACATAATGGGAAAAGAAAATCTTGCAAGTGAACTTGATCTGCTCACTCCACAAAGCTCTTTGAGGTGCTCAGGAAGGGAATGGCTCTAAGGAAACAGAAGGCATTGCTCAGAGATGTGCTTGATGAGAGAGTGGTGCAATGATTGATGCTGTATTGAAGTCTATGGTTAGAAGCTGATGAGGGCCATTTACCTGAAAGTGTTGACTCAGAAACAGTCAATTTATGGAGGCTAATGACCATCACAACTAGTAACCTCCTCCATTTAATAACAAAATTGACACTTAATTGAACTAGTCTGTGATGTGCATGAAGATATAGTACCTCTGAGCTCATCTTAGCTTGCCTATGAGTTACGCCATCACAGTCAAGAAGGCTGCCTGGCTTTTCTATAAGTGTGAATTCAGGAGCAACCATTTGGCCACTGCCAGAAGAGGCTGTGCCAACAGAGAATTTTGTAACTGATGGGATTCTACATACATGGTCATGATGTGCAGCCATACAGGCAGGGGAGGCATTCTCAGTCAGCATGGCACGTCTGCCATTTGGCTCTTGGAATGCGTTGATGACATTGAGGGGCATGTGCAGTTCTAAACTGTGTAGATTCTACAAATAAGAGAAAATGTTCTGGGATAGGGTTTTTATTTACATTTTATTGAAAGTTTCATGGTAAAACACAATTGAATAAAATCTTTTAGCACTCAACATAGAAAAATTTTCACCAATGACTGCTCAGGAGACTCCACTGGTTCCTCTTCTGTTCTTTGACTCTTATTTTTACCCCTAAGTTATAGAGTTTGGTAAGAAAATTCCTTTTATGTTGCCGATATTTTCACAGCTGAAAAGTATTTATTTTTAACATAATATTCTGCAGGGTTATTAGTAAGTAACAATTTTGCATATCTGTCATATTTTTATAGCCAATAAAGGGTGTCATTATTAAATTACTGTAGACTGAAAGGTCTATATCTGCTTTGGTCTATGTTAGCATTTGTAATTTGTTTCTTTTTTATGCATTTCCAACTTTAAGTTTATGGGTACAAATGCAGGATGTGCAGGTTTGTTACATAGGTAAACATGTGCCATGGTGGTTTGCTGCACAGACCATCCCATCATCTATGTATTAAGCCCAGAATCCATTAGCTCTCCCTCTCCCAGTATCACATCTCACAGGCCCCAGTGTGTGTTGTTGCCTACCGTGTGTCCATGTGTTCTCATCACTTGGCTCCTACTTTTTTTTTTTTTTTTTTTTTTTAGATGGAATTTCACCTTGTTGCCGAGGCTGGAGTGCAATGGCACGATCTTGGCTCAAGGCAACCTCCACCTCCCAGGTTCAAGCGATTCTCCTGCCTCAGCGTCCCGAGTAGCTGGAATTACAGGCATGTGCCAGCGTGCCCATCTAATTTTGTATTTTTAGTAGAGACTGGGTTTCTCCATATTGGTCAGGCTGGTCTTGAACTCCTGACCTCAGGTTATCCACCTGCCTCAGCCTCCCAAAGTGCTGGGGATTACAGGCGTGAGCCACCGCACCCGGCCCTTAGCTCCTACTTTTAAGTGAGAACATGTGGTATTTGGTTTTCTGACCCTGCATTAGTTTGCTAAGCATAATGGCCTCCAGCTCCATTTATGTCCCTGCAAAGGACATGATCTTGTTTGCCTGTATGGCTGCATAGTATTCCATGGTGTGTATGTACCACATTTTCCTTATCCAGTCTGTCATTGAGGAGCATTTGGGTTGATTTCATGTTTTTGCTATTGTGAGTAGTGCTGCAGTGAACATACCTGTGCACGTGACTTTATAATAGAATAATTTATATTCCTTTGGGTATATACCCAGTAATGGGATTACTGAGTTGCATGGTATTTCTGCTTCTAGGTCTTTGAGGAATCATCACACTATCTTCCACAATGTTTGAACTAATTTACACTCCCACCCACAGTGTAAAAGTGTTCCTTTTTCTCCACAACCTCGCCAGAATCTGTTGTTTTTTGACTTTTTAGTAATAGCCGTTCTGATAATTAGATGTTTTGAAAAGACCGTGTTAAATCCCTTGTATATATTATCTCATTTAATCCTCATGACAGCTCTGCTCTACAAAGAAGTGCAGAGTACTGATTGGGAGCAGTGAGACTGCATGGCTTCACATTTTTGCAGTTCTTCATTTGCTTCTCCCAACATCCAAAGAACTTCCTGCCTCCCATCTTTAGATTACCACTCAAACATAAACCAGTGTGGGCTTCCTTGATTACCCTGCACAGAATAGCACCCTTTAGACTCTCCTCATCTGCTTGATTTTTATCCATAGCACCTGTATATATAGCACCTTAATATACTTTAATATATAGCACCTTAATATACTTTTTTTATATGTTTATTTGACTGTAGTCTATCTCCTTCCAATACACTATACAGTCCATAAGAACAAAGACTTTGTTTTAATAATTGCTATATCTGTAGCACCTAAAATTGTGCTTGACTCATAGTAGACAAAAAAATTTTGAAAATAATAAATGAATAAATTAATTAGTTTTCTCCAGCACTAACCAAATGAAATAACCATATGGAATTATCTCCTTCTGTTACTCTATTATAGTAAATATTTAGAGTGTTGATTCAATTGGATCTATAGGCATACATGATTTAACAAAAATACACCTCTCTATAAAACAATAAAGTTGTTTTCTTGCACTTGAATCAACAGGCATTACATGAAGAGGTGTCATTCTGATTTTTATCTTGTGATCCTTCTCTTATCAGCAGAGACCCACTGATCTTCTTTTGTTCACAGGTGTTTGGGTTAGTGTTTTATTTTTAATCTTGGTTCTCATGTTTTTGTATTTTAATTGCAAGGAATTTGCAAACATCCACTTGCTAAATAATTATTTTAATGAAAAAGCATCTCTGCTGTATTCAAAAAACATTTCCTGATCCTTCCTGCTACCGTATTGTTCTCTCCAATGCACTGACTGAACTATGTTTTTACTTTCTTCCCTTTCAACCTTGAACCTTTATGAACCATATTCTACAGTTCCAGAATCACTTTTTCTCATGTGTTTACAGTTTGGAATTCAGTGTCAGGTACCTCATCTTCAATAAAATAATATTTTTCAGGACGTACTGAAAGTCTGGAACAATATTATAGGAACAATAGGCAAGAAACTTGTGCAAGGCACATGGTAAAATTCATGTATCTTTTAGAAGTATAAGCACATGAAGAAGTGACACAACAGCCTGATCTAAAGTGTATTATGGGAAAATATTACGAGGAATGATTAATTAATTATGCCCGCATATAGTGGTGAAAGAAGGTATCACAACATACAGGATTACAAAACTTGAGAGCTTGTAACATGTGATTTTCCTTTAAAGTTTAGATAGTGGTATATGTATGTGCATGAGAGAGCGAGGGGGCAGCAAGAGTAAATAAAGAGTAAAAAAAGTAAATAAAGTATTTACTCATACTTTGCATGAGCAAAGTATGTTTATTGATTGTAGATAGTATTTGCAAAGCAGCCAATGCAACTCTGGCACATAGTAATATTAGAAATGTTATTAATTTTATTATTTTTATGAACATACAGTGTATACGAAGAGCTGGAATTCTAACTCAGAACATGAGTTCAGGATCTGGTCTGACTTCAGAGCCTGTGTTTTTAAATACCATGCAATATTACACCCTTCCGCCAACCATACATAACGTTTATTAACATCCTTTTGCTTCTAACATCTTAATGCATTTGTCAAGATCCTAACTGAAACTAGCTTCAATATGTTTGCCTAACAATGTTTAAAGGGGTTAGCTTAGGACTTTATAATGCAAAGGGTTTTTGAGCATGATCGATACTATAATTGACACACAGGTTTGATGATAATATAAAAAAATAAGGCATTTCCCTGATATGAGCAATTGTTGCTTGTTCTTTCATTTGTCATGGTGGTGCCCTGAGTGACAGAAAGAATATGTCAATCCCTCCTGTTAGGAAAAATAACTTCCTGTTTGAGGTCTCTGTTAGCAACTGATTCCTTATCTAGAGAATGGCACCTTCTGTATAAGACATTTAATATTTCATTAATGGCTCAGAGGTATTAATTCATGTTTCAAGTTGTGTTCTCACATCTGTGCAAATTTAGGGGAATATCCCAAACTAATACCATTCAGTCCTGCGCAAGTAGAAGGTTAACTATTCATGGATCTAATCTTTATCACAGAGAACTTAATCACTGATAAAGGAGAAAGTTGTTTCCAAGGGAGTAATTTTGTCAGGGTAAAGTAAAGTTTCAGGTCATAGATAGATTTTAGTCTTTCTGGACAAATAAAACAGTGATGCATTGATTTTCATAGGAAGTATTCACGGACAGAAACAAGAAAGATGGTTAGTAAAAACCTCTTCCAGCTCGCGTGCAGCCCTCGCTCGAGTGCCTGAATGGTCTCTGGGTGCTGTGTGGCATTCTGCTGCTCTCTATTGAGATGCATAGTGTTTACTAACATGGAATTGGACAGTCTAGCAAAGCTGCCTCCACCCCTGTAACCTGACCTTTTCAGGTTTGCATTCCACTGACCTTTCTCTTTTTAAGGCCTGATGTTACCTCTCTTCCTTAGACTGCAGGAACTCCAAAATCAAAATCAGCAATTTTATTAACATAGTTAATATTGCACCATTGAGATAGGTAAGGGAAGGAACAGCAGTTTACTTTTTTTTTTTCTAGAAGATATACAAGTCCATAATTCTCTACCTTCTGATTATTTTTTGTGGTCTTCAAACTATAAAAGAGCTATATTAGTTTATTATCCATATAAATACAGATCCAGTTAAAAACATATTTTTCTTATATTACTCAAGTATATTGGTTTTCTCTTTTCTGGCCTGAAGGAGTTATGAAGCCAGCTAAAGGGGAGAACTGGGAGACAAATTAAGGGTGATCAGGTGAAAGTAATGGAGCAATATCTTCCGCAAGCTAGAGATGGCGGGGAAAGAAGAAATTTAAAAAGTGCATTTTCCTCTATTGTCCTTTCAGATATTGTTTATCTACTTGCTTTTACTTTCTTTAATTTTTACCAATATCAAAAGTTCTTCTTCAGTTGCTTTTGCAAAAGTCTCATGTTTCTTTATATCAAGGGGTAAAATACTGAGAATCTTTTACTAATTTCTGTTCAATATATGTGTGCAACTATGGTTTGAAGATGCTTGTAGATAGGAGATTTAATGGCCAAAAAAAGAACAGAAGGCTGAGAAAAAGAAACTTTTTTTAATGCACTTGCTGAGATGCAACTAAAATTTAATTCCAATAAAAATAAAGTGACACATTCTGAAAAACTCCAATAGAAAAAATAAATTCTGTAGCAAGCTACAGAAATCCATTAGCTATATTAGCTTGGAAATCAACAATTCCAAATAAAGTTGGGAGTTATTATAAAACTATTCCCCATGGCTTAAAATCCACTACGATTCTTTATTGAAAGAGGCAAGTAAGATTCTAGAGAAATATAGTATAAATCAAAGAGATGATGGTCTTATTGTATATAAAGTAGTTAGACTTTACCTGAAGTACTATAAAATATAGTTCACAGGATGCCTGAAGACAGGTGTAATTGTCTGTAAAGGTAGAAAACAAGGTAGATGGCAGGGTCCTAAAGATGCTCTGTGAGGAACATGGGAGTATTTACAATGGTCAGGGGAGAAAGTGTGCTGATACACAGGACATATTTCAATTTTATTCAGGAATTAATTGAATTGAGTCCAACTAGCCATGTTTCATTGATCTTGATATGGAAGCTAATTTCTAAAAACTTGAGGAATTTTTTCCCTTTCCTCATCTTTATATTTTTATGTCAGTAATAAAAAAAAGTTTGATTTGGAACCTCCCACCAAAACTTTTTTTTTCTTGTTCTTCTTTTTTTTTAAGTGCCTACCTTTGTTTGTATCTCCCTTTCAGCCCTTTTGGCTGATTTTTGGTTGTGTGTATCTCCACCTTGTCCCGTGAATCATCCTATTATCTTGCATATCCTTCTATAATCTGCCCACTGTAATCAATCTTTAATCCAAAAAGACCTCATGAGCATACAAAGAAATGTTTTCAGTAAGTTGCAAGGGTGTTCATACTGAACAGCTCTATTAAATAATAAAATAAGTTGATAATGAAATAGAACCCACTGCAATAAATCTGAGATTTAAAGGACAGTCATTTGTCTTGATTTTGTTAAGCCATTTTACCTGATGTAAATACAACAAAGTAATTTACGTGTTGATTCCTCTCCCTGTTACTGGATTCTTTCTTATGGATAGCTTCAATTAACTCTGGTCAATGATATTTTGGTGTTACAAATATTTTCAGAAATGGCTAATTCTTTAATATCATTTAATGGCTTTGGGGAATTTTTTGACCGCTTTCATCCTTTTCATTATCCTTCATTTTATAGACTTACAGTTTTGTTTTGTTTTTTTTAAAGCTAAGTTAGAGGTTGAAAAGGAAACTTTTGACTTCCAACTTGCTGTAGCAGTCTGAGTGGCAGTGGCCATTTTCATCTTGCGTCATGAAGTACTCAGTCTTGTGGAGTGGTGGCATTTATTCTTGTAGATGCTTTTGAAGGCAAGGTTCCACAAATAATCTTGGGAATCGAGCTTTGAGAGTCAATCAGGATAGCACAAGCAAAGCATGTGCCAAAGCCCTAGGCAGAAACATACTTTATTCTTAATAGGTACAGGGCAATAAAGCAGAGTCCATGGCTTAGCCTCAACTGGGATTAAAGAGCTTACCATGAAGAACAAGGGAGAGCATGCTGAAGCTTCCTGGAACATTTGTTCATACTTCTCAGTAAACTATCGCAAGAACAAAAAACCAAACACCGCATATTCTCACTCATAGGTGGGAATTGAACAATGAGATCACATGGACACAGGAAGGGGGAATATCACACTCTGGGGACTGTTGTGGGGTGGGGAGAGGGGGGAGGGATAGCATTGGGAGATATACCTAATGCTAGATGACGAGTTAGTGGGTGCAGCACACCAGCACGGCACATATATACATATGTAACTAACCTGCACAATGTGCACATGTACCCTAAAACTTAAAGTATAATAAAAAAAAAAGTGGAAGAGGGACTTAAGGGTCAGTGAGATATCAGAGTGAGGACTTGGGTCAATGTTGCTGGTTTTGAAGATTGAGTAAGGGGCCATGAGTCAAGGGAAGTGGTGGACCTTTAGAAGCTACAGAAGTCAAGAACATGAATTCTTCTCTAAAGCTCCCAGAAAAGATTGCAGCCCTACTGACAAATGATTGTAGCCAGTTGAGATCCATGTTGGATTTCTGCATACAGAATTGTAAAATAATAAATTTGTATTGTTTTAAGGCAATACATTTGTGATGAATTTTTACAGCAGTGATAGAAAACTAATACACGCCCTCCAACCCCCACTTTCTCTTTGGCCAAATCATCCCTTTCAGCTGAAATTAACATGAATCCACTTGGTATATGAGTCATGCACTTACATTTTAGCTGCAGGGTCTTTTTGGAATTTTCTTTTATTTCTCCAAAACCTAATCTAACAAAAATGTCTCAGCAACATAACCAATTATTGTAAGGTTAATTACTGATTTTCTTAAATGTGTCGAATTCCTAAAATTCTAATTATTACTATTTTGCCAAGATGTAGATAGTTTTTCCTAGCTTCCTTTGTGCAAGATCCTTCTCAAAGTCCTCTAATAGATTAGCTTACATAATTGATTTAAGCTCTCTTTCCATTCAGCTTTCCTAATTTCATCATCAGAATTAATTATGTATTCTCCTGTTACTTTACTTATTTGGTTGTATTTCTAATAGAGCACTTTTCATAGTCTGCCTTACATTTTGTGGAACCAGTTACTCTCCCAATATCCCAGAGCTGCTTATGCTTGTAACATCACTATGGAGAGAGAAAGACTGAACGTATTGGTCAAGTAGTGCTTGCTCACACTATGTAAACTACTGACCCCCAGATCTTAGTAGCTTACAACTAACAAGGTTTATTTCTCACTCGTGCAAAATGTCCATCAGAAATATTTCCTGTAGCTGTGAAAGAAAAAAATCAGTGAGCACAAGAAACCACTCCTTACGATGGCTCTTAAAACTGCTGCCTGAAAATGACCCACACCACATTTGCAAATACTTAATTGGCTAAAGAAAGTCACATGACAAAGCCTGTGCACAACAGGGCAAAGAAATATAATCATTCAAGAGAATAGTGAATATATAGAGATGATAACTCAGCCTTCCACAATGAACTAGCCTTCTCTGGAATGCAATATAAAGTATGAATGTCTGTGAGAACATGTTAGAAGCACAGTGTGTTTGAGTAATCTGATGAGGAAAGAGAAAGTGAGAAAAGAAACAATGTGCTTCAAAGGTGCTTGCTGTGTGGCATTGATGTATTCATGTATGGGGAGAGTGAGATAGAGACTGTGGAGGTAAAGAAAGAAAAAATGAGAGACTTTTTAGCAGTTTCTGTGTATGGCGTACTTAGGAAAGGGAGAGGTGTCCACGGAGAAATTTATGAAGTTGTCCAGGGGAGTTGTTTCCATTCAGCTCTCCTAATTTCACCATCAGAATTAATTATGTATTCTCCTGTTACTTTACTTATTTGCTTGTATTTCTAATATAATACAATGATGCTGCAAAGAGCCACATTGTTTCAAGGCCTCTGGAGTTAGACTGCTGTTTATTTGAATGTGTAATATGAAGATACCAAACATGGGGCTTCACTTTATACACAGTTTTGAAGTTTGGTTCTTTTTACTTACTTAACTGTCATGGAATTGTGAATGTCCAGAGAGTACAAAAAATAATCAAAACTACAATTAGTGAATAATATGAAATAAAAATGACAAAATAAATTCTATTATAGCAATAATTATACATCGGCAGTTTTTTTAAAAAAGAAAAAGATATTGACTCTCATTATGAATACTTCAGTAGCCAGCAACTTATATGAGATATAGAAAAAGGAAAAATATACAGAAAAATGGAAAATAAAAGCACGTGAAAAGAAATACCCAGAAAATATGAAGCAAATGTCAATAAAAGAAAAAGTTGAAATCACAAAATTCCAAAATAACACAGGCATTATAGAAACAACTAGTTTTCTGGTTTGGGTGGGGAATTGGAAAACAAAAGCAGAGGGTGGAGAATAAATATCTATCTGTGCCCAAAAGGATTAACATGTTAACAAGTATTAGAATCCAACATGTTGGGCATACCTCGCTTCTAAATCCCTGGTTATTGAGACTATGTTCTAAACTTGATTTTCAAGAATTATATGCATATTTAGATTTATTTATTTCATTGTTACTTCATATTATACTTGAAGAAAATAGTGGTAAATTATTATGTTATAATCATATTAAGAAGGATGAAATGGGGAGATATGAATTTGAATTTATTATTGGGGGTATGGAGGTTTATCTATAATATAGGGGACTAATACCAGAACATTGTGTTATGATATTCAGTGTATCCAAATAGTACTTTCTTCAAGGTAATTCTCCATTTTCTGCATTTAGAGGAAGCATGGAAAATAATTGTTTTTTACGGTATATTACTTGTTTAGAGTGTAGCATTCTAAGGAGAGTGTATTTTTCTTGTGGTTTAAACATGTCTAAATATTTCCTTGCATCTCCAATAAATGAAATCACCTCACACTTTCTTTTATCATAAAAATGTTTTATTTTTATATAAAGACTGACTTCTATCAAAGTAATGCAGATACAAAGCAGAAAGACCTTGATGCTTTTCAATTACATTGATTCTCAAATAGCTTTCCGAGAACACTGTTGAACTCACCAAGGATGATCTGAAGTCTATGCTTAGAGTTTACTTTTCTTTCAGGTCTTTGGGGGGGGTCTCTTCACGACTGCTTGCTCACAAAGATTTACAAAAATACCAGTGAAATGAAATTTAGAACAAGAAATAGCCTTGGCTTACTCACAGTGGCAATGAAATAAACAATTCATTGTGAGGCATTCGAAGGAAAAGATAATAAATAGAAGACAGACTAGCTGTAGCCCTTTCGCCCTGTCAGGGTCTTTTTATTTTGAGCTGCAAATTTTTCACATGACAGAATTTAAATAAGAGTGTGCAAGAGGTTGTGTGTGTGTGTGTGTGTGTGTTACTGAAACAAACAGCTGAAAGCAGTTGGGTCGTATAATTTTAAGAAAAAGAATTTTATAATGTGTGAAGTTAAGAATGCTGACCTATTCTATTTAGTTTTTAATATTTTTCAGTCACTTTCAACTCACTATCTCCCTAAATTCAGTGTCTTCACTTGTGAAAGGGAGGAAACAGAAGACCCTAACTGAAACGGTTATTATAATTAATTAAAAGAACACTATTTAAGTACTTAGTGTGTTATACAGCAAATAGTCAATAATGTTAATTGTTGCTATTTTTTATAACTGAATATAGTTGAAAAGTATTTCAGCCATACAGGAAAAGTTCAGGAATGAGAACAGTACAAAGAACACCATCTTTATATAGATTAAATTACTGTAAAGATTTTACATTATTTTAATAAGTAAACTACAGCCCCTTATTACCAGATAGTTCTGTGTATTTCCTAGGAATACTATATTACCATATATAATCATAGAACAGTCAAAAACTGTAACAGTAATTTAATAGTGTTATGTAATCTACAGATTGTATTTCAATGTTTTCACTTGAGTAATCTCCTTTATTGCATTTATTTTTGTACCAGTGCAGAATGCAGGTCTTCTATTAAGTTATCTTGTCTGTTTGTTTAGTCTTTTTAATTTTTAAACATTACCATAGCCTTTTTTTTTTTTTTGGTCTTTATGACATTGTATATATACACCATGGAATACTACATAACCATTAAAAAGTATAAAATCGTGTCCTTTGCAGCAACGTTGATGCAACTGGGGGCTGTTATCCTAAGCAAACTAAGGCAGAGGTAGAAAACCAAATATTGCACATCCTCACTTACAAGCAAGAGCTAAATCTTGGGTTCACAAGGACATAAAGTTGGAAACAATAGACACTAGGGACTCCAAAAGGAGGAAGGGAGGGGGAGGGCAAGGGTTGAAAATCTTCCTGTTGGGTACTATGTTCACTACCTGAGACACAGGATCAAAAGAAGCCCAAACCTCAGTACCACACAATATATCCTTGTAAGAAAACCTTCATGTGTGCCTCCTGACTCTAAAATTAAAATGGGAAAAAATAACAAAAATGAAAATACGTTATCTACTACTTGTATTCTTTTTTTTTCTTTTTATTATTATTATACTTTAAGTTTTAGGGTACATGTGCACAATGTGCAGGTTAGTTACATATGTATACGTGTGCCATTTCGGTGTGCTGCACCCATTAACTCGTCATTTAGCATTAGGTATATCTCCTAATGCTATCCCTCCCTCCTCCCCCCACCCCACAACAGTCCCCAGAGTGTGATGTTCCCCTTCCTGTGTCCATGTGTTCTCATTGTTCAGTTCCCACCTATGAGTGAGAATATGCGGTGTTTGGTTTTTTGTCCTTGCGATAGTTTACTGAGAATGATGATTTCCAATTTCATCCATGTCCCTACAAAGGACATGAACTCATCCTTTTTTATGGCTGCATAGTATTCCATGGTGTATATGTGCCACATTTTCTTAATCCAGTCTATCATTGTTGGACATTTGGGTTGGTTCCAAGTCTTTGCTATTGTGAATAGTGCCGCAATAAACATACGTGTGCATGTGTCTTTATAGCAGCATGATTTATAGTCCTTTGGGTATATACCCAGTAATGGGATGGCTGGGTCAAATGGTATTTCTAGTTCTAGATCCCTGAGGAATCGCCACACTGACTTCCACAATGGTTGAACTAGTTGACAGTCCCACCAACAGTGTAAAAGTGTTCCTATTTCTCCACATCCTCTCCAGCACCTGTTGTTTCCTGACTTTTTAATGATCGCCATTCTAACTGGTGTGAGATGGTATCTCATTGTGGTTTTGATTTGCATTTCTCTGATGGCCAGGGATGGTGCGCATTTTTTCATGTGTTTTTTGGCTGCATAAATGTCTTCTTTTGAGAAGTGTCTGTTCATGTCCTTTGCCCACTTTTTGATGGGGTTGTTTGTATTTCTCTTGTAAATTTGTTTAAGTTCATTGTAGATTCTGGATATTAGCCCTTTGTCAGGTGAGTAGGTTGCGAAAATTTTCTCCCATTTTGTGGGTTGCCTGTTCACTCTGATGGTAGTTTATTTTGCTGCGCAGAAGCTCTTTAGTTTAATTAGATCCCATTTGTCAATTTTGGCTTTTGTTGCCATTGCTTTTGGTGTTTTAGGCATGAAGTCCTTGCCCATGCCTATGTCCTGAATGGTAATGCCTAGGTTTTCTTCTAGGGTTTTTATGGTTTTAGGTCTAACGTTTAAGTCTTTAATCCATCTTGAATTAATTTTTGTATAAGGTGTAAGGAAGGGATCCAGTTTCAGCTTTCTACATATGGATAGCCAGTTTTCCCAGCACCATTTATTAAATAGGGAATCCTTTCCCCATTGCTTGTTTTTGTCAGGTTTGTCAAAGATCAGATAGTTGTAGATATGCAGCGTTATTTCTGGGGGCTCTGTTCTGTTCCATTGGTATATATCTCTGTTTTGGTACCAGTACCATGCTGTTTTGGTTACTGTAGCCTTGTGGTATAGTTTGAAGTCAGGTAGCATGATGCCTCCAGCTTTGTTCTTTTGCCTTAGGATTGACTTGGCGATGCGGGCTCTTTTTTGGTTCCATATGAACTTTAAAGCAGTTTTTTCCAATTCTGTGAAGAAAGTCATTGGTAGCTTGATGGGGATGGCATTGAATCTATAAATTACCTTGGGCAGTATGGCCATTTTCACGATATTGATTCTTCCTACCCATGAGCATGGAATGTTCTTCCATTTGTTTGTACCCTCTTTTATTTCATTGAGCAGTGGTTTGTAGTTGTCCTTGAAGAGGTCCTTCACATTCCTTGTAAGTTGGATTCCTAGGTATTTTATTCTCTTTAAAGCAATTGTGAATGGGAGTTCACTCATGATTTGGCTCTCTGTTTGTCTGTTATTGGTGTATAAGAATGCTTGTGATTTTTGCACATTGATTTTGTATCCTGAGACTTTGCTGAAGTTGCTTATCAGCTTAAGAAGATTTTGGGCTGAGAAAATGGGGTTTTCTAGATATCCAATCATGTCATCTGCAAACAGGGACAATTTGACTTCCTCTTTTCCTAACTGAATCCCCTTTATTTCCTTCTCCTGCCTAATTGCCCTGGCCAGAACTTCCAACACTATGTTGAATAGGAGTGGTGAGAGAGGGCATCCCTGTCTTGTGCCAGTTTTCAAAGGGAATGCTTCCAGTGGGTTTGTCATAGATAGCTCTTATTATTTTGAGATACGTCCCATCAATACCTAATCTATTGAGAGTTTTTAGCATGAGTTGTTGAATTTTGTCAAAGGCCTTTTCTGCATCTATTGAGACAACCATGTGGTTTTCGTCTTTGGTTCTGTTTATATGCTGGGTTACATTTATTGATTTGCGTATATTGAACCAGCCTTGCATCCCAGGGATGAAGCCCACTTGATCATGGTGGATAAGCTTTTTGATGTGCTGCTGGATTCGGTTTGCCAGTATTTTATTGAGGATTTTTGCATCAATGTTCATCAAGGATATTGGTCTAAAATTCCCTTTTTTTGTTGTGTCTCTGCCCGGCTTTGGTATCAGGATGATGCTGGCCTCGTAAAATGACTTAGGGAGGATTCCCTCTTTTTCTGTTGATTGGAATAGTTTCAGAAGGAATGGTACCAGTTCCTCCTTGTAACTCTGGTAGAATTCGGCTGTGAATCCATCTGGTCCTGGACTCTTTTTGGTTGGTAAGCTATTGATTATTGCCACAATTTCAGAGCCTGTTATTGGGTCTATTCAGAGATTCAACTTCTTCCTGGTTTAGTCTTGGAAGTGTGTATGTATCGAGGAATTTATCCATTTCTTCTAGATTTTCTAGTTTATTTGCGTAGAGCTGTTTGTAGTATTCTCTAATGGTAGTGTGTATTTCTGTGGGATCGGTGGTGATATCCCCTTTATCATTTTTTATTGCGTCTATTTGATTCTTCTCTCTTTTCTTCTTTATTAGTCTTGCTAGCGGTCTATCAATTTTGTTGATCATTTCAAAAAACCAGCTCCTGGATTCAATAATTTTTTGAAGCGTTTTTTGTGTCTCTGTTCCCTTCACTTCTGCTCTGATTTTGGTTATTTCTTGCCTTCTGCTAGCTTTTGAATGTGTTTGCTCTTGCTTTTCTAGTTCTTTTAATTGTGATCTTAGGGTGTCAATCTTGGATCTTTCCTGCTTTCTCTTGTGGGCATTTAGTGCTATAAATTTCCCTCTACACACTGCTTTGAATGTGTCCCACAGATTCTGGTATATTGTGTCTTTGTTCTCGTTGATTTCAAAGAACATCTTTATTTCTGCCTTCATTTCGTTATGTACCCAGTAGTCATTCAGGAGCAGGTTGTTCAGTTTCCATGTAGTTGAGCAGTTTTGAGTGAGTTTCTTAATCCTGAGTTCTAGTTTGATTGCACTGTGGTCTGAGAGACAGTTTGTTATGATTTCTATTTTTTTACATTTGCTGAGGAGAGCTTTACTTCCAGGTATGTGGTCAATTTTGGAATAGGTGTGGTGTGGTGCTGAAAAAAATGTATATTCTGTTGATTTGGGGTGGAGAGTTCTGTAGATGTCTATTAGGTCTGCTTGGTGCAGAGCTGAGTTCAATTCCTGGGTATCCTTGTTAACTTTCTGTCTCGTTGATCTGTCTAATGTTGACAGTGCGGTGTTAAAGTCTCCCATTATTAATGTGTGGGAGTCTAAGTCTCTTTGTAGGTCACTCAGGACTTGCTTTATGAATCTGGGTGCTCCTGTATTGGGTGCATATATATTTAGGATAGTTAGCTCTTCTTGTTGAATTGATCCCTTTACCGTTATGTAATGGCCTTCTTTGTCTCTTTTGATCTTTGTTGGTTTAAAGTCTGTTTTATCAGAGACTAGGATTGCAACCCCTGCCTTTTTTTGTTTTCCATTTGCTTGATAGATCTTCCTCCATCCTTTTATTTTGAGCCTATGTGTGTCTCTGCAAGTGAGATGGGTTTCCTGAATACAGCACACTGATGGGTCTTGACTCTTTATCCAATTTGCCAGTCTGTGTCTTTTAATTGGAGCATTTAGTCCATTTACATTTAAAGTTAATATTGTTATGTGTGAATTTGATCCTGTCATTATGATGTTAGCTGGTTATTTTGCTCGTTAGTTGATGCAGTTTCTTCCTAGCCTCGATGATCTTTACAGTTTGGCATGATTTTGCAGTGGCTGGTACCAGTTGTTCCTTTCCATGTTTAACGCTTCCTTCAGGAGCTCTTTTAGGGCAGGCCTGGTGGTGACAAAATCTCTCAGCATTTGCTTGTCTGTAAAGTATTTTATTTCTCCTTCACTTATGAAGCTTAGTTTGGCTGGATATGAAATTCTGGGTTGAAAATTCTTTTCTTTAAGAATGTTGAATATTGGCCCCCACTCTCTTCTGGCTTGTAGAGTTTCTGCCAAGAGATCTGCTGGTAGTCTGATGGGCTTCCCTTTGAGGGTAACCCGACCTTTCTCTCTGGCTGCCCTTAACATTTTTTCCTTCATTTCAACTTTGGTGAATCTGACAATTATGTGTCTTGGAGTTGCTCTTCTCGAGGAGTATCTTTGTGGCGTTCTCTGTATTTCCTGAATCTGAACATTGGCCTGCCTTGCTAGATTGGGGAAGTTCTCCTGGATAATATCCTGCAGAGTGTTTTCCAACTTGGTTCCATTCTCCCCGTCACTTTCAGGTACACCAATCAGACGTAGATTTGGTCTTTTCACATAGTCCTATATTTCTTGGGGGCTTTGTTCATTTCTTTTTATTCTTTTTTTCTCTAAACTTCCTTTCTCACTTCGTTTCATTCATTTCGTCTTCCATCACTGATACCCTTTCTTCCAGTTGATTGCATCGGCTCCTGAGGCTTCTGCATTCTTCATGTAGTTCTCGAGCCTTGGCTTTCAGCTCCATCAGCTCCTTTAAGCACTTCTCTGTATTGGTTATTCTAGTTATACATTCATCCAAATTTTTTTCAAAGTTTTTAACTTCTTTGCCTTTGGTTTGAATTTCCTCCTGTAGCTTGGAGTAGTTTGATCATCTGACGCCTTCTTCTCTCAACTCGTCAAAGTCATTCTCCATCCAGCTTTGTTCCATTGCTGGTGAGGAACTGCGTTCCTTTGGAGGAGGAGAGGCGCTCTGCTTTTTAGAGTTTCCAGTTTTTCTGCTCTGTTTTTTCCCCATCTTTGTGGTTTTATCTACTTTTGGTCTTTGATGATGGTGATGTACAGATGGGTTTTTGGTGTGGATGTCCTTTCTGTTTGTTAGTTTTCCTTCTAACAGACAGGACCTTCAGCTGCAGGTCTGTTGGAGTTTGCTAGAGGTCCACTCCAGACCCTGTTTGCCTGGGTAACAGCAGCGATGGCTGCAGAACAGCGGATTTTCGTGAACCGCGAATGCTGCTGTCTGATCGTGCCTCTGAAAGTTTTGTCTCAGAGGAGTACCAGACCGTGTGAGGTGTCAGTGTGCCCCTACTGGGGGGTGCCTCCCAGTTAGGCTGCTTGGGGGTCAGGGGTCAGGGACCCACTTGAGGAGGCCGTCTGCCCATTCTCAGATCTCCAGCTGTGTGCTGGGAGAACCACTGCTCTCTTCAAAGCTGTCAGACAGGGACATTTAAGTCTGCAGAGGTTCCTGCTGTCTTTTTGTTTGTCTGTGCCCTGCCCCCAGAGGTGGAGCCTACAGAGGCAGGCAGGCCTCCTTGAGCTGTGGTGCGCTCCACCCAGTTCAAGCTTCCCGGCTGCTTTGTTTACCTAAGCAAGCCTGGGCAATGGCGGGCGCTCCTCCCCCAGCCACGCTGCCACCTTGCAGTTTGATCTCAGACTGCTGTGCTAGCAATCAGTGAGACTCCGTGGGCGTAGGACCCTCTGAGCCAAGTGCGGGATATAATCTCCTGGTGCGCCGTTTTTTAAGCCCGTCAGAAAAGCGCAGTATTAGGGTGGGAGTGACCCGATTTTCCAGGTGCCGTCTGTCACCCCTTTCTTTGACTAGGAAAGGGAACTCCCTGACCCCTTGCACTTCCGGAGTGAGGCAATGCCTTGCCCTGCTTTGGCTCGCACATGGTGCGCTGCACCCACTGTCCTGCACCCACTGTCTGGCACTCCCTAGTGAGATGAACCCGGTACCTCAGATGGAAATGCAGAAATCACCTGTCTTCTGCGCCACTCACGCTGGGAGCTGTAGACCGGAGCTGTTCCTATTCGGCCATCTTCCTACTACTTGTATTCCATAAATGATTCCTCAACCTGAGCTTTCTTGATGTTTCCTCATCATTAGATTCACATTATTTATTTCTTGCTGGAATAATACTTAGGTGAAGTCGTGCACTTCTCAGAAAATCACATTTGGGGGCACATGGCATTCATTTGTTTCACTGGTTATATCAGTTTTCAATACCCCGACAAGGGGATGTCTCATTTCTCTACTGTATAATGTAGTACATTTTCCCTTGCAAATAATAAGCAATTTGTGAGAAACACTTTTAAGGCATGAAAATATTCTGTGCTCACTGGCTCACTGAAATTTCCCCCAAAGCTTATCATCCATTGATGATTCTTAAATTAACAAAATTTTACTATATGTTTGCAAAAGGATAATTTTCCCATTATGGCATGTGCATCACATTTATTAGCTGGAACTTAACCACCTCCCATTTACAAGTTTATTTATGTATTTGTGTATGTATGTACATACATATTTAACTGTTAATGATTGGTTTGGGTGCATAGATTTCTATTTTTTCAATTGTTTTTAATTATTACACTTAATAATCTTGGTGTTCAGAGTTTTCCAGATCTAAACAGTGGATCCCCTTTAAGCTAGTACTTGTATCCCTGTCACATGTCCTCATCATTTTTTTTGAGAGCTTCTTAATTATGACATAGTAGCCCTGAAAATGTTTTTCCTTTAAGTGGGGAATATGATTTAAAAAATCATGATCTCTGAGTTGCTAGATATGTGTATTGTTAATGAATATTTCTGTTTATAGTGGTCAGAGATAGGGAATACATGCATACATGTGTATGACCATATATTTATATATCTATATCTACATCTATACACATATGTATGCATATATATGTATGTGTACATATATACACATATGTACATGTAAATACACACTCAAATGCATACATTTGAAACCATAAGCTTACACCAGTATCTCTAAATTTAATTCCTTTCCACAAGGTTCTTTCTTCCCCTATTTTATATTTTTATCTCCCTCCTTCAACTCTGGCTCCCAACATCAATACATTTACTTATTTTCTCAATTCTATAATATATCTGAAATGATTTCAAAATTGCTTTGCTCATATGACTAAAAAATAAAATGTTCTAAGAATGGCCCAGGGTTTGTTTGTAGTAGTCCCCTCCCTTCACTAACCCATACTGCCCAAGATTGATAACAATCACCCAGCCAAAGAATGCCCTTATAAATTACTTGAGTTCAATTTTTTTCCTTTTTTTCTTCAGTGTGTTTATGATACTTCTTTGAAAAGAATTCTTTGAATTAGATGAATTTGTAGACTTAATATTTTTAATGTACAATAATTTCAAAAAGATTCTCATGATCATGCAAAAAAGGTATATTCAGATAAACGTCTTTCCTTTCCATATCCATTCCACTGTTTTCTCCTGCACCCTTGCATATAATAAATTTCATTGTTTTTCGGTTTATCTTTTCTATATTTCTTTTTGGAAAGATAAGCAAATGTATATATATTTTCTTTTCTTTTCCTCTAATTTTTAGACAGAGTCTTGCTTTGTCACCCAGGCTGGAGTGCAGTGGAGCGATCTCAGCTCACTGTAACCTCTGCCTCCCAAGTTCAAGCAATTCTCCAGACTCAGCCTCCTGAGTGGCTGGGATTACAGATGCCTGCCACCACACGTGGCTAATTTTTATGTTTTTAGTAGAGATGAGGTTTCAGCATGTTGGTCAGTCTGGTCTCAAACTTCTGACCTCAAGCAATCCACCCACCTCGGCATCCCAAAGTACTGGGATTACAGGCATGAGCCACTGTGCCTGGCTCTATATTTTCTTTTCTTTCTCTTTCTCCATCACCCTCCTCTTTTTTCTTTTTTTTTTTTTTTCTTGAGCCAGGGTCTCATCCTGTTGCTCAGGCTGGAGTCTAGTGACATGATCACAGCTCACTGCAGCCCTGAACTCCCAGGCTCAAGCAGTCCTCCTGCCTCAGCCTCCTGAGTAGCTGGAACTACAAGCACATGCCACCATGCCTGGTAAGGCTAGTGTACTAATATAAATCACTTCACACTTTACTTTTTAAATTTTACAATATCTCTTGGAAATCCCTTCAGAGTTGTTCATAGAATTGTTCCTCATTTTATTTTTTAAAAGTCTTTATGGTATCAGTTTGTTTGTAGGTACCATAGTTCATTCAGTGGATCTTCTATGCTGGAATGTTTAGCTATTTTCCAACATTTTGCAGTGATCAATTATACAGAATGACTAACTTTGTGCATATGTATTTTTCTATTTTTGGAGGCGTTCCTAGTATATTCTTAGAATTGAGATTTCTGAGTCAAAAGATAAATGTGTATGCAGTTTAGTAAAAGATTGCCAAACTCCTCTCCGTATGGGTTGTATCAGTTTGCAATCCCACCAGCACTGTATGAGAGTTCATGTTTCCTTTTGTTTGCACCAACAGTGTACTATCAAGCTTTTGAATCATTGCCAATTTGGTGAGTTATGATATTATATTTACAGAAAACTTGTGAAGTAAGCGTTATTATATTTGTAACACAGATAAGGAATAATATTACATAATGTGTGAAGAGATTATATAATGTTCTAAGGCTCCATAGTAAGTAACTTGTAAAAATTAAATTTAGCCCTTCATCAGTCTTCCAAGCCTTTATTTTATTGAAAGGAAACTAGAGATTTAGTCTTTTTCGCAATTTCAAAGAAGTGTTGGTCAACATAGAATTGCATGGTAGTAGTTCATGTCAACTGAAAAATAAAGACACTAGTTTCCAAGAAAAAACAGGAAGTCATTCTTAATATGTCAAAGATTATAAAAATTGGTAATTTGAAGGGGAGGAAGCAGAGGCTTAGTGATGATAATAGAAACATAAAAATAATAAAAGTAGATTGGCCATATAATTAATTGTTCATCCATGATCGCTTTGAGACTAAAGGAGGACTAATAGAATATTTAAAATGATACTCATATAGTTCTAATATTTTGAAATATTTATTGACCAACATATTTATATGTCAATGGACATATAATTCTATTCAACAAGTACTTTCAAAAATAAAATTATTTCTAAAATATAAAAATAGCATAAATCCAAGCATTTTATAGTGAGTAAAAAGGTTTTCTATTGATTATCTGAACATTAAAAGTAACAGAAACAGTATAGTTAATTTTTGATGTATATTTACATATTTTATAAGTATATTAACTTATGAAATGTCTCTAATACCATGTTACATATTTTTTTCTAAAGACTGTATTTATCAACCTGATATTTTAATTTTATTTTGTGGGTGCAAAAGTAATTGCTGTTTTTGCCATTACTTTTAGTGGCAAAAACCACAATTACTTTTGCAACAACCTAATACATTTAACAAAATTGCCTGCATTATTTTTATGCAAAAAGCAGTTAATAAATACATTTGAAATTGTTGATACCGTCAACTGACCACTGTCTGTCTATGTTAATATTTCAAAGCGAGGAAACACAATGTATTCAGTAAGCTCAGAACAAATTCTGCCAGATAAAAAAATTCTTAATTGTAATGTTTTAAATTGAAATGTGTAAATATAGTGGTTCAAATATTTTCACAGGTATTTTCTTGCCTTATTTCAGAACAACTTTCCTAATTATTTTTTTAAAGGACAAAACACATCAAATGTGTTGTCTCTATTTATGACTGTTTTGAATATTTTACTAAGTATAGATATTCTAAAATAATAGATCTCAGTTTCATTCTAGTTGTGTAGAATATAAAGGAGTCTTTCCAAAAGTTGACATACCCAAAGCCTACTTATACAATTGAGCTCTCATTATTTAATTTTCCTTTTATAAGAACAAATTTTATTGCCTTTTTATTTGCAAATATAGTTATCAATAATTTGAAGTGGCTAAGAGCTTCAAATGTTGAACTTTTGTGACATTCTATTTGTTGAATATTTTACAGATTTATCATTGATTTCTAACAAAATAAACTAACATATTGAATTAATTACGCACCCCAATCCTATACCATTGTAGAACACCTAGACTGATTTATAAAGTGGTCATTTAAAGGTTAAGCATTTCTAAAATCCTATTGATTAAGGACAGTAAGTAAAAGTACTTTTTAAAATTTGTATTCAATTTCTTGATGATCATCAAAATTTTGTAGTTGTTTTGGTATACGTAAAATTTATCAACTATAGCATCTTTTTAGTTGGATAGGCTGTCAGAACTTGTTTGGATGTAACACTGAATTAGGTATATTTTACAAAGACTTTGAAGTCTATTTCTGTCACATAGGTTTGTTAATTTAGACAAAACATTGGATTTACCATGATGCTGTATTCCACCGATATGTATATTTGCATTATACTATTTAAAGTATTTTTATCTTCAATAATGATCATTTTAACTTAATTTACAATAGCACTTACTGGCATAAAAACAGAAATATCGACCAATGGATCAGAATAGAGAACCTACTAATAATCCACATGTCTATAGCCAAATTATTTTTGATAAAAGCATCAAGAACATACACTGGAGAAATGACAGTCTCTTCGAAAAATGGTACTTGTAAGACTGTATATTCATATGCATAAGAAGGAAACTAGATCCCAACGTCTTACCTTAGACAAAACTCAACTGAAAATAGATGAAAGATCTAAATGTAAGACCCAAAACTATAAATCTCCTAGAAGAAAACATACGGGAAATTCCTTAGGACCTTGGTTTGGGAAGAGATTTTATGAATAAGACCTCAAAAGCACAGGCAACAAAAATAAAAATAAACCAATGGGATTACATCAAACACAAAGCTTCTGCAGAGCCAAGGAAACAATAACAGAGTGAAACAAAAACCTACATAATGGAAGAAAATATTTGCAAACCATTGACCTGATGGGACATTAATATCCAGAATATACAGGGAATTCAAACATCTCAACAGCAAAAAATAAGAGAGTCAAATTAAAAAATTGACCAATGATCTGAGCAGACATTTCTCGAAAGAATACATGCAAGTAGCCAAGAAATATATGAAAAAATGCTATCATCACTAATCATCAGGAAAATGCAAATCAAAAATAAAATGAGGTGTCATCTTAGTCCAGTTAGGATGGCTATTACTTAAAAAAATAACAAATACTGGAGAGGACGTAAAGGAAGGAGAACTCTTATACACTGTTTGTGGAAATGTAAAATAGTATAACCATTATGAAGAACACTATGAAGTTTCTCAAAAATCTACAAATAGATTTACCATATTATCAAGCAATCCCACTACTGGACATGTATCCAAAGGACAGAAAATCAGTACATTGAAGAGACATCTGCACACCCATGTTTACTGCAGCACCATTCAAATAGCCAAGGTCCAGAATCAACCTAGGTTTCTAACAACAGATGAATGGATAAAGAAAATTTGGTGTATTTATACAATGGAATACTATTCAGCCACACAAAGGAATAAAATCCTGTCATTCATAGCAATATTAATGGAACTGGAGGACGTTATATTAAGTGAAACAAGGCAGGAACAGAAAGTTAAACATCACATGTTCTCACTTATATGTGAAAGCTAAGAAGAGCATGCACAGAAGTACAAAGAGGATACTAGAGGCTGGAAATGTTAGCGGGGAGGAGGAATAGGAAGAGATTTGTTAAATGAGATAAAATTGAAGCTACATGGGAGGAGTAAGTTCTACTGTTCTATAGCACTGTAGTGTGACTAGAGTTAACAGTAATATATTATACATTTTCTAAGAGCTAGAAGGAGGCTATTGAATGTTCCATAACAAAGAAATGATAAATATTTCTGAAATGATGAATATGTTAATTACCTTGAAATGATCACTGTACATCACATATATTGCAACATCACTCTGTAATCCATAAGTATGTACAATTATTACATGTCAGTTACAAAATTTGTTTAAGCTGGAAGAAAAAATATCAGTTTGAATAAGCTTTCAAAAGCCTTATTTTGATTTTTTGATGTGCATAAAAATATTGAACATTTATAGTCATAATTTATACTCTCATTTCAAGCATTTGATAACACTAAAATGCTAACACTGGCATCACCCACCTATCTTGAAAATTCTCCTTCTGCTAAAGGAGCCAGTGCATTAAGAGCTATCATTTTGTTTTTCAAACATACACAAAAATACTTGGAATAAATAAAATAGTAAAGTCGATTTCCATCAAATAAAAAATGCTTCACCAAATAATATATAAATGTACCTTCTGCACATGCCCATGGGGCTTATCTTTTTCACATCCTTCTTATAATACTAACTTTTGAACTTTATACTGATACTTCTTCAGCAGAATTATATCTTCTCATAGCCATATGTCAGTGATTTTGCTGCAGTCTTCATGGCGGGGCAGTAAATTTCAACGTGTTTGAATTTTATACCTTTATTGTCAGGTTCCTTGAGAAATTGAAATTCAGTTCATTTCTAAAACAGAGTTTTAATTCAAATAAAAATTTAGTTCATTCCTGCCATCAGAGTTGCCTGTAAAATAAAAACAGGTATTTAAAATACTAAGACATATAGTTAAATATTTCAATGAATCCAGGAGCTGGTTTTTTGAAAAGATCAACAAAATTGATAGACCGCTAGCAAAACTAATAAAGAAGAAAAGAGAGAAGAATCAAATAGATGCAATAAAAAAAGATAAAGGGGATATCACCACCAATCCCACAGAAATACAAACTACCATCAGAGAATACCATAAACACCTCTACGCAAATAAACTAGAAAATCTAGAAGAAATGGATACATTCCTCGACACATACACCCTCCCAAGACTAAACCAGGAAGAAGTTGAATCTCTGAATAGACCCAATAACAGGCTCTGAAATTGAGGCAATAATTAATAGCTTACCAACCAAAAAAAGGCCAGGACCAGAGGGATTCACAGCCGAATTCTACCAGAGGTACAAGGAGGAGCTGATACCATTCCTTCTGAAACTATTCCAATCAATAGAAAAAGAGAGAATCCTCCCTAACTCATTTTATGAGGCCAGCATCATGCTGATACCAAAGCCTGGCAGAGACACAACAAAAAAAGAGAATTTTAGACCAATATCCCTGATGAACATTGATGCAAAAATCCTCAATAAAATACTGGCAAACCGAATCCAGCAGCACATCAAAAAGCTTATCCACCATGATCAAGTGGGCTTCATCACTGGGATGCAAGGCTGGTTCAACATATGCAAATCGATAAACATAATCCAGCATATAAACAGAACCAACGACAAAAACCACATGATTATCTCAACAGATGCAGAAAAGGCCTTTGACAAAATTCCACAATGCTTCATGCTAAAAACTCTCAATAACTTAGGTATCTCAAAATAATAAGAGCTATCTATGACAAACCCACAGCCAATATCATACTGAATGGGCAAAAACTGGAAGCATTCCCTTTGAAAACTGGCACAAGACAGGGATGCCCTCTCTCACCAGTCCTATTCAACATAGTGTTGGAAGTTCTGGCCAGGGCAATCAGGCAGGAGAAGGAAATAAAGGGCATTCAATTAGGAAAAGAGGAAGTCAAATTGTCCCTGTTTGCAGATGACATGATAGTATATCTAGAAAACCCCATAGTCTCAGTGCAAAATCTCCTTAAGCTGACAGGCAACTTCAGGAAAGTCTCAGGGTACAAAATCAATGTGCAAAAATCACAGCATTCCTCTACACCAATAACAGACAAACAGAGAGCCAAATCATGAGTGAACTCCCATTCACAATTGCTTCAAAGAGAATAAAATACCTAGGAATCCAACTTACAAGGGATGTGAAGGACCGCTTCAAGGACAAACTACAAACCACTGCTCAATGAAATAAAAGAGGAAACAAACAAATGGAAGAACATTCCATGCTCATGGGTAGGAAGAATCAATATCGTGAAAATGGCCATACTGCCCAAGGTAATTTATAGATTCAATGCCATCCCCATCAAGCTACCAATGACTTTCTTCACAGAATTGGAAAAAACTGCTTTAAAGTTCATATGGAACCAAAAAAGAGCCCGCATCGCCAAGTCAATCCTAAGCCAAAAGAACAAAGCTGGAGGCATCCCATTACCTGACTTCAAACTATACTACAAGGCTACAGTAACCAAAACAGCGTGGTACTGGTACCAAAACAGAGATATAGACCAATGGAACAGAACAGAGCCCTCAGAAATAACTCGGCATATCTACAGCTATCTGATCTTTGACAAACCTAAGAAAAACAAGCAATGGGGAAAGGATTCCCTATTTAATAAATGGTGCTGGGAAAACTGGCTATCCATATGTAGAAAGCTGAAACTGGATCCCTTCCTTACACCTTATACAAAAATTAATTCAAGATGGATTAAAGACTTAAATGTTAGACCTAAAACCATAAAAACCCTAGAAGAAAACCTAGGCATTACCATTCAGGACATAGGCATGGGCAAGGACTTCATGACTAAAACACCAAAAGCAATGGCAACAAGAGCCAAAATTGACAAATGGGATCTAATTAAACTAAAGAGCTTCTGCACAGCAAAAGAAACTACCATCACAGTGAACAGGCAACCTACAGAATGGGAGAAAATTTTTGCAATCTGCTTATCTGACAAAGGGCTAATATACAGAATCTACGAAGAACTCAAACAAATTTACAAGAAAAAAACAACCCCATCAAAAAGTGGATGAAGGATATGAACAGACACTTCTCAAAAGAAGACATTTATGCAGCCAAAAGACACATGAAAAATGCTCATCATCACTGGCCATCAGAGAAATGCAAATCAAAACCACAATGAGTTACCATCTCACACCAGTTAGAATGGCGATCATTAAAAAGTCAGGAAACAACAGGTGCTGGAGAGGATGTGGAGAAATAGGAACACTTTTACACTGTTGGTGGGACTGTAAACTAGTTCAACCATTGTGGAAGTCAGTGTGGTGATTCCTCAGGGATCTAGAACTAGAAATACCATTTGACCCAGCCATCCCATTACTGGATATATACCCAAAGGATTATAAAACATACTGTTATAAAGACACATGCACACATATGTTTATTGAGGCACTATTCACCATAGCAAAGACTTGGAACCAAGCCAAATGTCCAACAATGATAGACTGGATTAAGAAAATGTGGCACATATACACCATGGAAAACTATGCAGCCATGAAAAATGATGAGTTCATGTCCTTTGTAGGGACATGGATGAAGCTGGAAAACATCATTCTCAGCAAACTATCACAAGGACAAAAAACCAAACCCTGCATGTTCTCACTCATAGGTGGAAATTGAACAATGAGAACACATGGACGCAGGAAGGGGAACATCACACTCTGGGGCCTGTTGTGGGGTGGGGGGAGCGGGGAGGGATAGCCTTAGGAGATATACCTAATGCTAAATGATGAGTTAATGGGTGCAGCACACCAAAATGGCACAGGTATACATACGTAACAAACCTGCACGTTGTGCACAGGTACCCTAAAACTTATAGTATAATAAAAAAATTAAGTAAAATACAATATATGGTAAGAACACATATAGCCAAAATGTTCAGACTATTCTTTCTATGCAGTCTAAATACTGAATATCTTTTTCCTTCTCATATTTCACTTATAAATAGCTGACAGCTTACTACAGTTTTCACTAAAAAAGCCATCTCGTGGCTTTGCAATATTGCACAGGACATGGCACAACTGATTATTAATGAAGTAATTGGCAGGTGCAACAGCATTGAATATTTTTCCACTACTGCCAGAAACTAGATGGAGTCAGCTATTCCTAGTTATTCCTGCTTGCGGATATTTTGCTTCACTCAGTAGGACTCTCCATTTGTCCTCCAATTGAAGTATTTTTTATGTTGTATCTGTTAGAGTTGTCTAAGGCACCTTTGATATTTCAAACGTGTTGAAGAGATAATTTTCTTAATTACAGGTTTCTGAAAGTAAAGAGACCAAACAAATCCCAATTTATGTTAATGCTTGATAGCAACCATTCATTTAAAGGAAAACTCCAGAACTATTATTGAGTGGCATGGGATGCTGGAACAACTGGTATTAATTGAATCTGTCCCTGGCAAATTAGGATATATGGTCACTATAAATGTAAACATCAATATAAATACCACCTCACTCTCGCCTTCTAGTGACTATAAGGAGTATATAAAAAATAAATCCACAAGTGCACTATATACAGATTAATATACATCAAACCATTCATTTATTCAAAATTCACTAGGCATGATTATACAATTATATGGATATTAATGAGATATTATTCTTGTGGTTGTTTTAAAATGTATTCAGAAATTATTCATTGCTCTTTTTTTCAATGGTGAGAGTCTAATCCTCCTCCACTTGACTTTGGGCTATACTTAATAACTCATTTCTAACAAAGAAAGTATGTCAGAATTGATGATATATGACTTCTGGGGCTTTGTAATAAAAGCATTTTAGCTTCCTTCTTGCTCTCTCCCTCTTGGGTCACTCATCCTGAGGGAAGCTACCCGTAATGTTGAAGAACACTCAAGCAGCTTAACAAGTAACTGAGCACTATCCCTAACAACCAGTGAGGAACTGGAACCTCCTGTCCATAGCCATGCACATGAGCCAAGTTGAAGATGAATCCTGATGACTGCAGCTGTGGTCAAATTTTGACTAAAACATTCATAAAAAACCAAGTCAAAGCATATAGCTAAGCTACTCCCTAATTGCTGACCAACAGATGTTTATTGCCTTAAGATACTAAATTTTAGGGTAATTTATTATACAGCAATAAATAACTAATAATGTTTTCAACTTAGAGGAACTTAAAAGCTGGTAGGAGCAATTGTATATAAACATAAGTGACTAAAATGTAACACAAAGTGTAAAAAGCCTTCAACTTTAGAGAAAAAAGGGAAATTTATTCTCAATAGCAGATCAGGGAAGGCTTTATGGAAAAAGTTTGAGTTGAAGTTGAAGAAAGTTAGGATGTTGAGAGGAAGAAATATCAATAGGGATTATTATTGGTGATGCAAAGATCTAAGCAATGTCAGAGGCAGGAAAGTGTAGGACTAGATTTAGGTAATTATGACTATTTTACTTCGATTGAAATTTAGAATATATGTGGTAAAAGATAATATTATTGATAGAGGTTGAAGTCAGCTTCTATAAAGCTATGACTGTAAAGACATTTGAATATTATTTAATCTTCATTTTATACATTTCAGGGAATAATCATTACAGATAAAGCAGTTTTTTCAAAGTAAGTTCTTGAAATTAGAGTTGCTTAACTCCAAATCTCTAATCTCTTAAGTGTTTTCCCAACAGCCTTTATCAGATTAGCACAGTTTAGCAGGCTGTGGCAGCATTAGGAATTATTAATCTTGTGGAGTAACCTCAGATATGAATCTAGGACTTAGTACATCTGTCCATCTGAGTAGCATATATAAAAAGACATATTTCCCAGGAAAAAATAGCATTACTTGGGTGCTAATCAGGAAATATAAATATATAACATCTAAGAAAAAATATGCCAAATCATCTTGACACAAAGAAACACATATTACCAGGGAGGGGAGCAAATAAAAAATAACATTTATATAAAACCTGTTACATACCAGACAATGTCTGGTACCAGGAGATAAAAAAATCTTTAAAATTATTGGGAGTAAGGCATGTAATTAAAAATAACGATTAATGAAATGTATAGATATTCTGAGAAGTACAATATAGATAGAGACTAATCAAATTAATTTTAAAAAGAATAATTGAATTAATCATAATTAAGTAGAGAAATACAAATAGCCAAGAAAAAATGTATCTTTGAAGAGGTCTTTAGAAGATGATGGGTGGACTTGTCAGCTGTGTTATTTTTACTAGTATTAGCTTTCCATGATAATATTGATTTTGGGGAGAATAATTGAGACTTGTTATTTGCACCTAGCAATTCCTAATGTATTTTATCCCTATTATAGGTACTATTGATTCTTGATTAGCTGCTAGGAAATCTAAAATTAGAAAAAAAATACCGGTTATTATAGGTTAAAGAGTTTCTATGTTCTAGATTAATGTTCTATTTTATTACCTCAGAAATAAAATATTTTATAGAAAGTTGTATTGGATGTAATCAGGTAGGACAAAGATACTCTGGGATAAAGTTAAGGCAAAAAAGACTCCCTAACTTCACCCCTCTCAAATTGTATGTAAAAAATACCGATTTAGGAAAAGAAATACCAATTGTGTGTTCATTTCTGAATAGAATGAAGTAGTTTTGGCTATCTCAGCATTCCTGCTGAGATCAATTTAAGGACTCCGAATTAATGGAAAAATCATATAATGGAAGGAATCAGAGAGCTGGAAAATCATTCAAAATTAGAAAAACTTAGATTTTCAAGAAAGGAGTATCTCAGAGTAGTTAGCTAATATTCGCAATCAACTTTTTATTTGGAAACGTTTTATAATTTGGGGTATGACTAAGAAGCTTAAAATATAGATTTATCGTGGGAGAAGCCCACTGCTGGGAGAACATTTCAGCCTTAGTCAATATTAGAGTGACAAAAATTGAAGGCTTGTGTTTCCTCATACACATAGCTATTTCGCTCAAGCCATTTGCTGAATTAGGAATCTATATGTGTGAGGGATGCCAGAAACTAAGGGAAAAACATGAAGAGTAGAGCATCTTCCAATTCAGATAAGTATGTGTTGGGGGAAGAGCCCATGGTTAAGGACAAGTTTCTCAGTTAAAAATTCTGAAGTGCTAGCTTTAGGAAGAGCGGTAAACCAGAGGTAGATTAATTTTTAATACACTTTGATGTGAGCATCCTAGAATTTCAGCTCTGTATTCCTAATCGGATTAAGATGATTAATTTCCTATTCTATAAGCATAGGAAAAAATGTAAATATTCTCTCACAGATGATGTCATAATCTCAAGCCTTTGAATGATTTATACAACATTATCTAGAAAATAATTTAAAAATTACAAGACATGTCAATAGAAAAGATCATATGACTGGACAGTAAAAAGAAACATAAAAACACATCTTAGGAATAGGTACATAAATGATCTGAATAATAGAGATCGCTGATGACAGTATTAAATAATTATCATTAGTAATTCCATGAATATAGAGAGACAGAAAATTTGAAAGTAAAGAAAATACTAAAATTCTAACTAAATATAGCTGGTTATTGTATTTATATTTATTTTATAAACATTTATATAACATGTGTATTATAATTATAATGGTTCTTACACTTATATTTAAATTAATCAAACTTATATAAGTAAAACTTTAGCTTCTCCATTTAATTAGCCACACTTCAAGTTCTCAATAGCCACCTGTGACTATTGGCTACCATATTGACTGCACAGATACAAAATATTTCAAAAAGACCAAAAGAATAGCAGCCTGCTTGGCTGAAATTGGCTGGGAGCCAGGAATTACTTCCCAAAATGGGGAAAGGGTAAGTGAGAGACTTCCAGTGGCCCACACCACCACTGTGGAATCCAGGCCATGGGAAAGCCCCTTGACCTTCTCAAGCCCTGAACCTATCACAGGGAGTTTCCTAGAGGGAGATCATGTTGGGTCCCATACCTTTTCTGAGACTTTGGTGGCTACAGCAAGGTGCCATTTTTAAACCTAGCTTTTGACAGACTGCAAACTGTCATGGGGCCTAGCAGCATTGGGTTTGAGGCATTAGGGATGCTCCGGCTCTCACTGCTAGGACTGTGGTAGAAGCTGGGATTGCTCCCACAGCTGGGCTGAGAAGCAAGCAAGGATATAGCTCCTGGTTCTGGAAAGCAAGCACTGCCAGAACTCAATCTAGTATGTGAGTGGGGTGCAGGTTGCAGTCACAAACTGAGCAAGGACTTCTACAGCTAGGATTGGAGGAGGGAGCCTCACCAGGACAGGGTGATGAGAGACAGGCATATTCTCTGCCTCTTGGCTCAGTCTGTGGCCACTGAGGCAGGACCAGCCCTTTCCAGTGGCAAAGCCTTAGTGCAGCTATAACTGCCCCTCACCCAAACACTCTGCCTGTGGCCTGAATTGCCCTGTTCCCACCCACTATAGCTGGTGCCTGCTGTCACCATTGGGAAGGATGAGCACAAGACCTCTCTGCCCAGCTTCGCCTCTCCCTAAGACAGAGCACATAGTCTGGGGCCCTGGGGGTTTCCCAATCCAATCTACCACACTGGGAACCTGAGCACTCCTCCCAGGAGGCTGAGGTTGAGCCTACATCTCCAATCCCTACTACCTCAGCTGGCACCAACCTGCAAGAGTTACCTTCAGGCCTGGAGACTGGCTCACCCAGCCCAGTCCATGGTAGCCACAACCAACATCAACGCACACTGCTCGAGATGCAGATAATTGTCTTGCCGCTGCTACTGCCATCACCCACAACATGCTGGCTGCCCAGGGGCCTGAAAACCCATATGCTCACGCAGCTTACTATTGCCACTACCTGAGCAAGCCACCTGGAAGTCCAAGAATTGGCCTACCAGTAACTGTCAACACTGCTGCCAGTGTAAATCCCCCTGGGACACAAGAATAGTCACTTGCATCTCACCACTGTCCCCACTCGAGCCTGAAGACTGGAATACCTGGCACTCTAGTCACCAGTACAACTTCACTACAGCCTCCAATAATACCTGTACCCTAAACCGTTGCGAAAAATCACAGAAGCATTAATGCATTTTACAGCCAAATAAACCATACAGAGACTACACTACTGTATGCATCTGGAATCAAAGCCAAAGTGCCCCATCCAGTGAAAACGATAGATACATCTTCAGAAAAATTCCTTCACTTATTGAAAATACATTCAAAAATAGGAAGAAGAGACTGTTTATACAAGACGTGCAGATATCAACATAAGGAAACAGGAAACACAATAAAATAAGGAAATATAACACCTCCAAAGGAACACAATAATTCTTCAGTAATAGATCTTAATGAAATAGAAATTTTTGAAATCCCAGGTAAATAATTCAAAATATTGATTTTTAAAGAAGCTCAGTGAAATAGAATTCTGAAAACAATACCAACAAATAAGAAAACAATTCAGGATATTAATGATAAATTTACCAAAAAGATAGATTTTTTTTAAGAAAGAACTACATAGAAAATATGGGACAGAACAATTTATTAAATGAAATAAAAAATATATTTGACAGCTTCAACAATAGACTAGCAGAAGAAAGAATCTCAGAATTTGAAGCAGAAGAAAGAATCTCGAAATTTGAAAACAGGCCTTTTGAAATAATCCAGTCAGACAAAAATGTAGAAAAAATGGCTAAAAGAGAATTAGCAAAGCCTTTGTGACAGTTAGGACAACATAACGTGATCAAATATCCAAATTATTGGTATTTGCAAGTGTGAAGAGAAAATAAGAGGATTTGAAAAATCTATTTAATGAAATAATAGATGAAAACTCTCCAAGTCTACCACAAAATCTAGACATTCAGATACAGGAGTCTCAGGGATCCCCAGGCAGATTGTGTTAGTTTATTTGCATTGCTATAAAGGAATGCCTGAGACTGGGCAATTTATAAAGAAAAGATGTTTATTTTGGCTCATAGTTCTTCAGGCTGTACCAAATGCATGGCTGTAGCATCTGCTCTTGATAGTAGCTTCCAATCATGGCAGAAGGCACTGGAGAAGCCAGTGTATCATGTGGTGAGGGGGGACAAAGAAAGATAAAGGGAGCCAGTGCCACACTCTTTGAAACAACCAAATTTTGTGTGAATTCAGAGCAAGAATTACTCACTACTCCATGAGGTCAGCACCAAGCCATTCATGAAGGACATGCCTCTATGATCTGAACATCTCCCACTAGGCTCAAAACCAGCATTGGAAGTCACATTTCAACATGAGATTTGGAGGGAATGGAGAAAACATCCAAACCATATCACAAATACAATGTAAAACGAGTTTTTCTGTGGCATGTTTTAGTCAGACTACCTAAAGGCAAACCTAAAGAATGAATTCTAAACACAGCAAGAGAAAAGCATCTGCTCACCAATGAAGAAAACCGCATTAGACTAATAGTGGATTTCTCAGCAGAAACCGTACAGGTCAGAAGTGGTATATTCAAAGTGCTAAAATGAAAAGGAAAACTTCTCAGCAAAGAGTACTATATCAAACAAAATTATCCTTCATAAATGAAGGAGAAATAAAGTCTATCCTAGAAAAGCAAATGCTGACAAAATTTATTACGACTTGACTGGCCCTACAAGAAACTCAACAGAGCCCAAAACTTAAAAGCAAAAGAAGGATATTTACCATTATAAAACACCCAAAAGTATAAAACTCACTGGTAAAGCAGTCATATGAAGAGGAAAAGAAGGGACTCAAATGATACCACTATAGAAATCCACCAAACCACAATGACAAAAAAAAAGAGAAAAAGAACAAAGAATATACAAAACCAACAGAAAATAACTAACAATATGACAGAGCAAAGCCCATATATCAATAATAAGCTTGAACATAAACATATTTAATGCCCCATGTAAAAGATATAAATTGAATGGATAAAAAATCCAGTTATATGCTGCTTATAATAAAATTACGTTATCAGTAAACATACATATAGACTGAAAGAAAAGGGATAGGAAAAAAATTTTGCATGAAAGCAAACCTAATCAAGTAGTAGTAGCTAAATTTGCATCAGATAAAACAGACTTTAAGTTAAAAACAGTAAAAAATAAAAGACAAGAAGGCCATTATACAATTATAAAGAGAAATCCAGATATAGGATTAATCAATTCTAAATATGTATGTAACCAACACGGACATGCCCAGATTCATAAAAAAATATTACTAGATATAAAGAGAGAGTGATAGATTGAATACAATAACAGTGGGGAGTCCTGCTCTCAGTATTAGATTAACTAGATAGAAATTCTCCAAAGAAACATTGGATTTAAACTGGACTTTAGACCAAATGGACTTAACAGACCTTTACAGAACATTCTATTTCACGACTGTAGACTATACATACTTTGCATAAGCTCTTGGATCATTCTCCAGGATAGACCATATGTTAGGCTACATGCAAATCAGGTGTCATAAAATTAAAAAAAATTGAAATGATATCAAGTATCTTGTCAGACTAAGGAAATAAAGATAGAAATCAATACTAAGAGGAACATTAGACAATATACAAATACATGAAAATGAAACAACACACTTCTTAATGACCAAAAGTTCAATGAAGAAATTAAGAAGAAAATCAAAAAGTTTCCTGAAACAAATGAAAATGAAGAGGCAACATACCAAAGCCTCTGGGATGGAGCAAAAGCAATGCGAAAAGGAAAGTTTGCTGCATTAAATGTCTACATCAAAAGAGTAGAAAGATCACAAATTAACAACTGAATTTTGCATCTCAAAGAATTAGAAAAACAAGAACAAACCAAACCCCAAATACGCAAAAGAAAGGAAATAGCACAGATCAGAGCATAATTAACAGAGAGGCCAAAAAACAATATAAAAGATCAACAAAATAAAAAGTTGTTTATTCAAAAGGACAAATAAAATTAATAATCCCCTAGCTAAACTAAGAAGAGAGAAGATCCAATAAATACAATCAGAAATGCAAAAGGAGACGTTACAACTAATACTACAGAAATACAAAAGATTAACAGAGATTATTATGAACAATGATATGCTCACAAACCAGAAAACCGAGAGGAAATGGGGAAATTCCTGGAAAAACACAACCTCCCAAGATTCAATTTGGAAGAGATTGATCTCCTGAACAAACCCATAATGAGTAGCAAGATTGAGTCAGTAATAAAAATCCTTCTAACAAAGAAAATCCCCAGACCGGATGTATTCCCAGCTGAATTCTAACAAATGTACAAAGAAGGACTAGTATCAATTCTCCTGAAACTATTTTTAAAAATCAAAGAGGAGAAAATTTTTCCTAACTCATTCAACAAGGCTAGCATCACCCTGATACCTTGATACCAAAACTAGACAAGGACACAACAAAAAAATCCAGAAAACTGTAGGTCAATATCGTGATAAACAGATGCAAAAATCTTTAAGAAAATAACAGCAAATTGAATCCAACTTCACATCAAAAAGATAGTATCCTATCATCAAGTAGGATTTATACAAGGGATATAAGATGGTTCACCATATGTAAATAAATATATATGATGCATCACATCAACAGAGTAAAGGACAAAGGCCATATCTTCTCAACAGATGAAGAAAAAGTGCTTGATAAAATTGCTTTTTTCATAATAAACTAGGGATAGAAGGAGGCTACCTCAACATAAGAAACGTCGTGTATGACACACCCACAGCTAATATCATACTGAATGGGGAAAAGTTGAAAGTATTTTCTCTCAGAACTAGAACAAGACAAATATGCTCACTTTCACCTCTCCTATTTCAACATAGTACTGGAATTCCTAGCCAGAGAATTAAGTCAAAAGAAAGAAAAAAAATGACTTCCAAACAGGAAAAGAGGAAGTCAAATTGTTCCTCTTTACTGATGATATGAACTTATATCTAGAAAAATCTAAAGATTCCACCAAGAGACTCTCAGTTTTGACACATGAATTCAGTAAGTTTGCATGAAACAAAATCAATGTACAAAAATTCAGTAGCATTTCTATACGTCAATGATGATCTAGCCAAAAAAATTTGCATGCCATTTACAATAGCTACAAAAATAAAATACGTAGGAATAAATTTACTCAAGAAGGTGAAAGACTTCTACAGGAAAACTACAAAACATTCATTGAAAAAACTGGAGATGACTCAAATAGAAAAACATTTCATTCTCATGAATTAGAAGAATTATTATCATTAAAATGACCATATTGTCCTAAGCAATCTGAAGATTCAGCGCAACTCCTATCAAAATACAAATGTGATTCTTCACACAATTAGAAAAAAAGTCCTAAAAATTATGTTAAACCAAATAAAGCCATAGTAACCAAAGAAATCCTGAGCAAAAAGAACAAAACTGAAGGCATCACATTATTTGACTTCAAAACATATTCTAAGGCTATTGTATCTAAAACAGCATTGTATTGTTATAAAAATAGACATATGGACCAATGGAACAGAACAGAGAACCCAGAAATAATGTCACATATTTACAGTCGCCTGATCTCTGACAAAACTAACAAGAAATTATACTGGGTAAAGGACACCCTCTTGCATAAATGGTGGTGGAAAATTGTATAGCCATATGCAGAAGAGTGAAACTGGACCCCTATCTCTCACCATATATAAAAATCAACTTAAAATGGATTAAATACTTAAATATAACACCTGAATATATAAAAGTACTAGAAGAAACTCTAAAGAAAACTCCCCCAGATATGATCCAGATAAAGAATTTATGACTAAGACCTCAAAAGCACAGGCAACAAAAGCAAAAATAAACCAATGGGATTTAACTAAACTGAAAAGCTTCTGCACAGCCAAAGAAATAAACAAAAGACTGAAGAGACAACCTGTTGAATAGGAGAAAATACTTGCAAACTATTCATCCAACAGGGGACAAATATCCAGAATGTACAAGGAACACAAACAATTGAACAGGAAATTAACAATTCCATCAAGAAAGTGGGCAAAGGACATGAATAGACATTTCTCAAAAGAAGACATACAAATGGCCAATAGGTATTTGAAGAAATGTTTAACATCTTTAATCTGCAGAAAAATTCAAAAGAAAAACACAGTAAGATATCATGTAACTTCAATCAGAATGGCTGTTATTAAAACACCGAAAATAACAGGTAGTAGTGATGCTGAGGAAAGGGAGCTCTTACACACTCTTGGTGAGAATGTAAAATAGTACATCCACTATGAAGAACAGTATGGAGATTTTACAAAAAACTAAACATGGAATTACCATTCAGTATAACAATCCCACTACTAGCTACCCAAAGGAAAAAAAAGCAACGTATCAATGAGATATCTATACTCTCATGTTTATGGCAGCACTGTTCACAATAGCAAAGATATGAAATCTAAGAATCCATCAGTGAATGCATGTATAGTAAGTATGCACAATGGAATACTATTTGGGTGTAAGAAGAATGAAATCATGTCATTTGCAGCAACATGGATGGAACTGGAGGTCAGTATATTGAGTGAAATAAGTGAGACACAAAAAGACAAATATGAGAAGTTCTCATACTTATGTATAGTGGCTAAAATACTTGATCACATGGAGGAAGGGAGTAAAAAGATAGTTAAGACTGGGAACGGTGAGTGGGGAGAGAGGGAGGATGGAGCGAAGTGGGTTAAAGGGTACTAACATACAGTTAGAAGGAATCAATTCAATGTGTGATTGCAGAGTACGGTGACTATAGTTGGCAAAAATTCATTGTACTCTGATGATGAAACCCTAAATACTCTGACTTGATCACTACACATTATATACATGTAACAAAATTTCACATGAATCCCATAACTTTGTACAGTTATTAATTTATAAAAAATAAATTATTTCTATCAAATTGCAAAGCTGAAAATATTTAATACACTCTAAGTGACAGATATAAAACACTAAACCTAACAACAAATTTCAATTTATTTTTAAGTAAACAATGACACATTTACGAAAACTGACCATCTGCTAAGGCATAAAAATAATACTCAGTGCAATTCAGAGTCTCTTCTCCTAGTGCAATGGAATTAGTAAAGGGACCAAGAACATAAAGATAATTAGAAAGTCCCTAAATTCTTTGAAATTAAACAGTATGCTTTGAATTAGCTCCAGGTGGCAGAAGGACTTGAAATGAGAAAACAGTTTCAAATGGTAGATAATGAAGATGTGAGATATCAAAACGAGGGAGATGGAACAACATCAGTACTTAATAAAAATGTGGTGTTTTAAATGTATAAAATATAAAAAGAAAAATGTTGAAAATCATTTAAGTTAAATTCCATCTCCCAAAGGTAGAAAAACAATAACAAATCAAAGCCAAATTGCTAAAGTGGAAAATAAGAAAATTAGGAACAGAACTAAAAGAAACTGAAAATAAATATAAACAGAATCTAAAAAATCTCAAATTGGTTCATTTAAAAGATTAATAAGATTGATTGATATTTAGCAAAGCTGATGGACAAAAAAAAATTAGAACAACACAAAAATTACCAACACCAGAAATTAAAAAAAAAACCTTCAAAAGAAAGTACAGATATTACATAGATGAGAGAATATTATGAATAATTTTAAGCTAATAGTTTTAAAAATTTTGTTGGAATGGAAAAACTTAGTGAAATACAATGTAGCAGCAATGACACAAGAAGTAAGAGAAAATCTGAATATTTTATATTTATTAAAAACCTCATATTTATTTTTAAAACCTTTCCAAATAGAAAATTCAGATCACATCACCTTAAATGGTAAACTCTTCCAAAGATTTAAGGAACATAAAAATTCTCAAGAGAAAAGAAGGATGAAAATCATTTTCATGTTGGTTTTAGAGATTTTCATAACATTCATATCAAATTTTGACAAGATTATTAATAGAAAATAAGATTGTATACCACTATTTTCATCAATATTTGTGTTAAATTGTTAAACAAAATGTTAGGATATCAAATCCAATAATGTATGAAAACGATAGCACAACATTTTATGGCTTCAGTTCAAGAAAGCAATTGTCATTTAACATTTGAAAACCTGTATTGTAATTCATGGCAATAATATAAAAAGAACAATTATATATAATATTTTGATATACACTAGAAATGCATTTGATAAGATTCAATGGTCATTTAGGCAAAAACAAAAACAAATTAGTAAACTAGGAGTATAATATACTTTCCTCAATCTGGTATAGAGTATATACAAAAAATCCAATATCAAACTTCATATTCAATGGTGAGTTATTGAAAGTTTGTACCTTAGATGGTGAAAAGATGCCTGCCGTAAATCTTTTCAAGTCAACATTGTACTAGAGTTCCTACAGTGTACAATAAAGTAAATAGTAAAATTACCAAGGCCTTCATACTCTCTTGTCAGCCCATACTAAGCCTCAGAAATTCATCAACTATTTTAGCTGAATTATTTTTACCAGTGTCTGTTTTTGCCTGCCCCAGGTAAACAAGTGCTCATACCCTGTGGGCACCTTTCTTTCTACAGATTTTAGGTTAATTAGTTGCCTGATACTTCAAATATTTGATTCAATTCTTTGGTTCAAGAAAAGTTTTGTACTTGCATTTTGCCTGGCTTTTTTCTTGCTACAAGTTTGAGAGTGATACTCTTTTCAGCTTTGTAGATTCTCACAAAGAAAGAGAACTTAAAATACCTTTATTGAAACATAGTATTCAATTTTCCAGTAAGTATATATAAAGATACTCTGCTTCAGAGGCTTTCAAACATAAACATGCATACAAATCAATTGGGAATCTTTTAAGTTTTTATTATTTTTTTTTCCTTCCACTTTTATTTTAAGTTCTAGGACACATATGCAGGATGTGCAAGTTTGTTACATAGGTAAACATATGCTGTGGTGGTTTGCTTCACAGATCATCGCATCACCTAAGAATGAAGCCCAGCATCCCTTAGCTATTCTTCCTGCTGCTCCCCCACCCCCAACAGGCCCCAGTATGTGTTGGTACCCCACCCTCCATGTGGCCATGTATTCTCATTGTTCAGATCTCCCTTATAAGTGAGAACATACAGTGTTTGTTTTTCTCTTCCTGTGTTAGTTTGCTGAGGATAACGGCTTCCAGCTCCATTCGTGCTCCTGCAAAAGACATGATCTCATTTATTTTTATGGCTGTACAGTATTCCATGCTGAATTATGTACCACATTTTCTTTATCTAGTCTATCATTGATGGACATTTGGGTTGATTTCATGTCTTTGCTATTGTGAATAGTGCTGCAGTGAACATATGTGTGCATGTATCTTTATAATGGAATGATTTATATTCCTTTTGGTATGTATCCAGTAATGCGATTGCTGGGCCAAAAGGTATTTATGCCTCTAGATCTTTGAGGAATCGACACACTGTCTTCCACAATGGTTGAACTAATTTACACTCCCACTCACAGTATAAAAGGATTCTTTTTTTCTCTGCAACCTCACCAGCATCTGTTTCTGGACTTTATAATAATTGCCATTCTGTCTGGCATGAGATGGTATCTCATTGTGGTTTTGATTTTCATTTCTCTAATCAGTGATTTCAGCTTCTTTTTATATGTTTGTTGGCTGCGTCAGTGTCTTTTTTTGGGAAGTGTTTCTTCATGTCCTTTGACCACTTTTTAATGGGGTTGTTTATTTCCTTGTAAATTTGTTTAAGTTCCTTGTAAACTCTGGATATAAGATCTTTGTCAGGTGGACAGATTTCAAAAATTTTCTCCCATTCTGTAGGTCATCTGTTCGCATCTTTTGCTGTGCAGAAACTCTTTAGATTCTATTAAACAATTTTTGCTTTTGTTGCAATTGCTTTTGATGTTTTCATCATGAAATTTTTGCCTATGCGTATGTCCTAAATGGAATTGCCTAGATTTTCTTCTAGGGTTTTTGTAGTTCTGGGTTTTCGATGTAAGTCTTTAATCTATCTTCAGTTCATTTTTGTATAAGATTCAAGGAAGGAGTCCAGATTCAATTTTCTGCATATAGTTAGCCAGTTCTTCCAGCACCATTTATTAAATAGAAAATCATTACCCCATTACTTGCTTTTGTCAGGTTTGTTGAAGATCAGATGATTGTAGGTATGTGGTCTTATTTCTTAGTTCTCTATTCTGTTCCATTGGTCTATGTGTCTGTTTCTGTGACAGTACCAAGCTCTTTTGGTTATTGTAGCTTTTTATAGTAGTATAGTTTAAGTCAGGTAACTTGATGCCTCCAGCTTTGTTCTTTTTGCTTACAGTTGTCTTAGCTATCTCGGCTCTTTTTGGATTCCATATGAATTTTGAAATAGTTTCTCCTAATTCTGTGAAGAATGTCAATGGTAGTTTAATGAGAATAGCATTGAATCTATAAATTACTTTAGGCAGTATGGCCATTTTCACAATATTGATTCTTTCTATTCATGAGCATGGAATGTTTCTCCATTTCTTTGTGTTCTCTCTGATTTCCTTGAGCAGTGGTTTGTAGTTCTCCTTGAAGAGGTCCTTCGCTTCCCTTTTCAGTTGTATTTCTAGGTATTTTATTATTTTAATGGCAGTTGTGAATGAGAGTTCATTTATGACTTGGTTCACTGCTTGCCTGTTTTCGGTGTATAGGAATGCTTGGGATTTTTGCACATTGATTTTGTAACGTGAGACTTTGTTGAATTTGCTTTTCAGCTTAAGAAGCTTTTGGATTATGACAATGGGATTCTCTAGATATAGGATCATTTTATCTGCAAACAAAAATAATTTGACTTCCTGATCCCTATTTGAATACCTTTATTTTTTCTCTTGCCTGATTTCCCTGGCCAGAACTTCTAATACTGTGTTGAACAGGAATGATGAGAGAAGGCATCCTTGTCTTATGCTGGTTTTCAATAAAAATACTTCCAGCTTTTGCTCAATCAATATAATATTGGCTGTGGGTTTGTCATATATGGCTCTTATTATTTTGAGGTATGTTCCTTCAACACCAAGTTTATTGAGAGTTTTTAACATGAAGGGATGTTGAATTTTATTGAAGGCCTTTTCTGCATCTATTGAGATAATCATGTGGTTTTTGTCTTTAGTTCTGCTTATGGGATGAATTACATTTATTGATTTGCATATGTTGAACCAACCTTGCATCCCAGGGATGAAGCTGACTTGATCATGGTGGATAAGCTTTTTGATGTGCTGCTAGATTCAGTTTGCTAGTATTTTATTGAGGATTTTTGCATCAGTGTTCATCAAGGATATTGGGCTGAAGTTCTTTTGTATTGTTCTATCTCTGCCAGGTTTCTTTTTTAGCAGGATAATCATGGCCTCATAAAATGAGTTAGGGAGGAGTCTCTTCTCTTTAATTTTTGGGCTAGTTTCAGTAGAAATGGTACCAGCTCTTCTCTGGATATCTAGTAAAATTCAGCTGTAAATCCATCTGCTTCTGGGATTTTTTTTTTTTATTGCTAGGCTATTTATTACTGCCTCAGTATCAGAACTTGTCATTGTTCTATTCAGGGATTCAATTTCTTCTTGTTTCCATCTTCGGAGAGTGTATGTGTCCAGAAATTTATTCATTTCTTCTAGATTTTCTAATTTATGTGCATAGAGGTGTTTATAGTATTCTCTGATGGTTGTTTGTGTTTCTGTGGGGTCAGTGGTAATATCCCCCTTATCATTTCTGATTGTGACTATTTGATTCTTCTCTCTTCTTTAGTATTCTAGGTAGTCGTCTATGTATTTTAATAAGTTTTTTCAAAAAACAAGCTCCCAGATTCTTTGAGTTTTTGAAGGGTTTTTCATGTCTCTTTCTCCTTCAGTTCAGCTCTGATCTTGGTTATTTCATGTCTTCTGCTAGCTTTGGGTTTTGTTTGCTCTTTGTTCTCTAGTTCTTTTAGTTGTGTTCTTAAGTTATTAATTTGAGATCTTTCTAGCTTTTTGATGTGGGCATTTATTTCTATAAATTTCCACCTTATCACTGCTATGGATGCATCCCAGAGATTCTGGCATGTTGTCTCTTTGTTCTTATTGGTTTCAAAGAACTTCTTGATTTCTGCCTTAATTTCATTATTTACCCACAAGTCATTTGGGAGCAAGTTGTTTAATTTCCAGGTAGTTGTGTGGTTTTGAGTGACTTTCTTAATCTTGAGTACTAATTTGATTGCACTGTGGTCTGAGAGACTGCAGGTTATGATTTCAGTTTTTTTTTTTTTGCATTTGCTGTGGAATATTTTACTTTCAATTATGTGATCCATTTTAGAGTAAGTGCTATATGGTGATAAGAAGAATGTATATTCTGTTTTTTGGCATTGGAGAGTCCTGTAGATACCTATCAGGTCTACTTCATCCAGAGCTGAGTTCAGATCCTGAATATCTTTGTTCATTTTCTGTCTCAATGAGCCATCTAATATTTTCAGTGGGGTGTTAGAGTCTCCCATTATTTTTGTGTATGAATCTCAGCCTCTTTGTAGGTCTCTAAGAACTTGCTTTAAGAATCTGGGTACTCCTGTATTGGGTGCATATATATTTAGGACAGTTAATTATTCTTGTTGAATTGAACCCTTTACCATTATGTAATGCCCTTCTTTGTCTTTTCTGGTCTTTTTTGGCCTAAAGTCTATTTTATTAGAAACTAGGATTGTGACCCCTGTTATTTTCTGTTTTTCATTTGCTTGGAAAATTTTCCTCAATCCCTTTATTTTGAGCCTATGTGTGTCTTTGCATGTGAGATAGGTCTCTTGAAGACAGCATACCAATGGGTCCTGACTCTTTATCCAGCTTGCCACTTTGTTTCTTTTAATTGGGGTATTTAGCCCATTTACATTTAGGGTTAATATTGTTATGTGTGAATTTGATACTTTCATCATTATGTTAGCTCGTTTTTTTTCAGACTTGTTTATGTGGTTATTTCATAGCGTCACTGGTCTGTGTACTTCAGTGTGTTTTTGTAGTGGCTGGTAATGGATTTTCATTTCCATATTTAGTGCTTTTTTCAAGAGCTCTTGCAAGGCAGGCCTGGTAGTGATAAATTCCCTCAGCATTTGCTTGTCTGTAAAGATTCTTATTTCTTTGCTTATGAAGCTTAGTTTGGCTGGATATGAAATACTGGGTGAAAATATTTTCTATAAGAATGTTGAATATTGGTCCCCAATGTCTTCTGGCTTATAGGGTTTCCACTGGGAGATCTGGTGGGTTTCCCTTTGTAGGTGACCTGGCCTTTCTCTCTGGCTGCTCTTAACATTCTTTCTTTCATTTTGACCTTGGAGAATCTGATGATTATGTGTCTTGGGCTTTGTCTTCTCATAAAGTATCTTTCTAGGGTTCTCTGGATTTCCTGAATTTGAATGTTGGCCTATCTTGCAAGGTGGGAGAAGTTCTTCTGGATGATATCCTGAAATTTGTTTGCCAACTTGGTTCCATTCTCCTATCTGTTTCAGGTACCCCAGTAAGGTTCAATCTTTTTAGATAATCCCATATTTCTTGGAAGTTTTTTGTTGTTGTTGTTCTTTTTCATTCTTGTTTCTTTAATCTTGTCTGTCTGTCTTATTTTAGAAAGATAGTCTTCAAGCTCTGAGATTCTTTCCCCACTTGCTCTGTTCTGCTATTGATACTTGTTATTGCCGTATAATTTTCTCATGTTTTGTTTTTCAGCTCCATCAGGTCAGTTATGCTTCTCTCTAAACTGGCTATTCTGGTTATCAGCTCCTGTATTGTTTTATCATGATTCTTAGCTTCTTTGCATTGGGTTACAACATGCTCCTTTAGCTCAGCAAAGTTCATTATTACCCACTTTCAGAAGGCTACTTCTGTCAGTCCAGCCATGTCAGCCTCAGGCTAGTTCTGTGCTCTTCCTGGAGAAGTATTGCAGTCATTTGGAGGAAAAGAAGCACTCTGGATTTTTGAGTTTTCAGTGGTTTTCTGTTCATTCTTTCTCATCTTTGTGGGCTCATCTGTCTTCAATTTTTGAGGTTGCTGACCTTTGAATAGGTTTTATGTGAGGTCTTTTTTTTTGTTAATGTTGTTAATGTTGCCTTCTGTTTGTTTGTTTTAACATCCTTGCCCAGTGAAGAGGGATGGATTGGGGTTCCACTTAAAGAAGTAGTCTGGCCATGATTTGGCATAGCAGCTGGGTTGTTTTGTGGGGGACTCCTCATTACCAGGACTGCCTAGACTCCCCAGAGCTGGCAGGCTAGAATGGTTGAGTCAACCTAACCACAGAAGTCGTGGTCACCCCACCGCTTATGAACTCATCCATCTCAGGCAGTCTCCAGCCTGTTGTGCTGACAAGCTAGAATTCTAAGCCAGTGGGTCTTATATTGTGAGGTGCCATGGAAGTGGGACCCAGAAGGATGGTGCTTGGCTCTTGTGGATTCAGCCCCCTTCCTAGGGAATGTGCTGAGGGGGTTCTCACCTTGTTGAGATTCCTCGGGCTGGAGACTGTAAAACTCCCAGGTCTTTGTGTGAGCCTGAGTGACCACTCTGTTGAGATTCCAAACAGCTCTGTGTATTAGACCCAAGGCACTGGTGGGATGGGCTCACGAGGGGATCTCCTGATCTGCAGATTGCAAAGATCTGTGGGAGAAGCATGTTTCCTGGGCGGGGTCAGACAATCACTCACTGCTTCCCTTGGCTGGGGGTGATGGTTCCTTTGGCTCCATGCCACTCTGGGGTGGGCTATCGCCCCACACTGCTTTTCTTTGTTCTCTGTGGATCAAGTCGATTGCCTAGTGAGTCCCAGTGCAAGAACCTGGATATTTCAGTTGAAGATGCTGAGATTACTCACCATTTTCCTTCCTCTCTGTGACAGCCAAGGAACACAGATTCTTCTAGTTGGCCATCTTGGCCCCTGCCCCAGGGATCTTTTTAAGGTGCATATTCTGGTTTAGTAAATTTGAGATGGGACCTGAGATTCTGCATTTGTAACAAGCTCTCAGGTGACGTAGATGCTGTTGCTTAATAGGCCATACTTTGATTAGCGAGGCTCGAAATCATTAGTCATCAAGGAAATGCAAATTAATGCCAAAAAGTGATTCTACTCCAAACACACACAAAAATGGTTAACAATATAAGAAGTGATAGTACTACACATATTGGCAAGGACGTGGAGTAATAGGAACTCTTATCCACAGAATAGACAAGAATAGACAAGAATTTTATTAACAGTGCTATTTGAATTATCTCTAACCTGGAACAATACAAATGTCTTTCAGTAGTAGAAAGCATACCTAAATTATGATATACTCACATGATAGACTACTATAATAATGAAACTGAACTATGTACAATTAACCGGAACAGAAAAATGTCAGATTGAAGATTATATACATATGGTTACAGATATATAAAGTTTACAAATGGCAAAACTAATTTACGGTGTTAGAAATCAGGATAATGGTGAAAGAGATTGTGCCCCCCTTTCCAGATGGCACAAGTTGGACTTATGGGTTACTAAGATGCTTCTAATCAGCTATCTTGGCCCCTCCTTCAGGGATCTTTTTTAAGTGCATATTCTGATTTAGTAAATTCTCAGCTCACTGCAACCTCTGCCTCCCGGGCTCAAGTGATTCTTCCACCTCAGAGCCCCCAGTAGCTGGGACCACAAGCGTGTACCACCATGCTGGGCTAATTTTTGTATTTTTAGTAGAAAGATGAGGTTTCACCATGTTGGCCAGGCTGGTTTCAAATTCCTGACCTCAAGTAATCTGCCCACCTTGGCCTCCCAAAGTGCTGGGATTACAGGTGTGAGCCACCATGACTGGCCCTGGTTTTTGTTTTTCAGTGTATTAGTAAAGATGCACAAATTTCCTATAGTACAAAATATATTATAATCTAATAACTGTAGTTCAATATAATTGATTTCTTATGTATTTTATTTTATGAGTTTGAAAACCTTATTCTGAAAGGTTTATAAATTTCACTAGACTGCCAAAAGTGTCCATGGCTCAAAAGAGTACAGTCTGTTTCAGTTTTCCACTGCTGTGCAACAAGCCACCCCAAAACTTCACAGTGTGATGTAGTTTCTCTTTCCTGACAGAGAAACTGCTGGCAGTAGTTTTATGTTTCTTAATCTTGGAGTTGGCTACATGGTTTTTGTTTGTTTGTTTTCTTGTTTGCTTTTACTTTATGACAATTTATCTAGCTGAAACATTAAGAATTTTGTCTTTCTCTTAATTAAGTAAAATTACATAAAATTTTTACTTAAAATTATCTAATTAATGCTAGCTATGAAAACTGTTGTAAACTACTCTAAAGAAAAGGGGGTGAAGTCCTGAAGAGTAATGTCTTCCCTTCCAGTTTTACTTTAAGTGACTGCATAAAGCAGGATTAGAATAGGTATTTTTCAGTTTTTCTCCCTCCTTTGGAAATGCAGTTTTTCAAAATAGGTAACTTCTTTGATTTACTGCTACATTGTCTCCTGAATTCATAAATTCTTTTATTCATGAAATATTTTGATAGCATTATATTAAATTTCTATAGCATTTCATATAACTTGAAGCTTATTCTTGCATATCTTCCTATTTTTATATTTAAACTTTATAACAAATCTGCAGTATTAAAGGGGCACTTATATTGAGAGGTGACAGCGTGCTGGCAGTCCTCAGAGCCCTCGCTTGCTCTTGGCACCTCCCCTGCCTGGGCTCCCACTTTGGTGGCATTTGAGGAGCCCTTCAGCCCCCCCACTGCACTGTGGGAGCCCCTTTCTGGGCTGGCCAAGGCTGGAGCCCACTCCCTCAGCTTGCAGGGAGGTGTGGAGGGAGAGGCGCAAGCGGGAACTGGGGCTGCGTGCGGTGCTTGCAGGCCAGCTGGATTTCCGGGTGGGCGTGGGCTTGGTGGGCCCCGCACTCGGAGCAGCCAGCCAGCCCTGCTGGCCCCGGGCAATGAGGGGCTTAGCACCCGGGCCAGTGGCTGCGGAGGGTGTGCTGGGTCCCTCAGCAGTGCCAGCCCACTGGCTCTGAGCTTGATTTCTCGCCGGGCCTTAGCTGCCTTCCCGCGGGGCAGGGCTCGGGACCTGCAGCCCGCCATGCCTGAGCCTCCCACCCACTCCATGGGCTCCTATGCGGCCGAGCCTCCCCAACGAGCACCACCCCATGCTCCATGGTGCCCAGTCCCATCGACCACCCAAGGGCTGAGGAATGCAAGCGCATGGCGCAGGACTGGCAGGCAGCTCCACCTGCAGCCCTGGTGCGGGATCCACTAGGTGAAGCCAGCTGGGCTCCTGAGTCTGGTGGGGACGTGGAGAGTCTTTATATCTAGCTCAGGGATTGTAAATACACCAATCAGTACCCTGTGTTTAGCTCAAGGTTTGTGAGTGTACCAATCGACACTCTGTATCTAGCTGCTCTGGTGGGGCCTTGGAGAACCTTTATGTCTAGCTCAGGGATTGTAAATACACCAATCAGCACCCTGTGTTTAGCTCAAGGTTTGTGAGTGCACCAATCGACACTCTGTATCTAGCTGCTCTGGTGGGGACGTGGAGAACCTTTATGTCTAGCTCAGGGATTGTAAATACACCAATCGGCACTCTGTATCTAGCTCAAGGTTTGTAAACACACCAATCAGCACCCTGTGTTTAGCTCAAGGTTTGTGAATGCACCAATTGACACTCTGTATCTAGCTGCTCTGGTGGGGCCTTGGAGAACCTGTGTGTCGAAACTCTGCATCTAACTAATCTGATGGGGACGTGGAGAACCTTTGTATCTAGCTCAGGGATTGTAAACGCACCAATCAGCGCCCTGACAAAACAGGCCACTCGGCTCTACCAATCAGCAGGATGTAGGTGGGTCCAGATAAGAGAATAAAAGCAGGCTGCCGGAGCCAGCATTGGCAACCCGCTCGGGTCCCCTTCCACATTGTGGAAGCTTTGTTCTTTTGCTCTTTGCAATAAATCTTGCTACTGCTCACTCTTTGGGTCCACGCTGCTTTTATGAGCTGTAACACTCACCACGAAGATCTGCAGCTTCACTCTTGAGCCCAGCGAGACCACGAACCCACCAGAAGGAAGACACTCTGAACACATCTGAACATCAGAAGGGACAGACTCCAGACGCGCCACCTTAAGAGCTGTAACACTCACCGCGAGGGTCTGCAGCTTCATTGTTGAAATCAGTGAGACCAAGAACCCACCAATTCCGGACACAATATCAGTTTTACTGGTTTGATATTGTCCTTCCTTACCCTCGCAGATTGAGATTTTTTATCCAAAGGGGAGAGAGGAGAAGAGTTTGGGCAGAGTTCCACACCCTCACTCCTGAAGCTGCTGTTCCCTTCCTGCAGGCCTGCACAGTAAGGGAAACTTACTCAAGGTTCTCTCCTGTTTTCCCTTTGAGAGTGAATTTTAGGGCCATACTTTCATTGTTCTCTAAGTGTTGGATCTTATAGCCTCCCAGAAGAGCTCAGAAAAGACTGGAAAACTAGCAAGTAATCATTGCCACTAATAACTTCTATGTTTTTTATATATTATCTGAATATTATCTTAGAATAATATTTATGAACTTTAAATACACCTACAGAGTTTATGAAGTGTTATATATCCCAGGATAGTCTATATCTGTTTCAGAAAGATAAGTATTCTCTCTCTCTCTGAATATACACAGAGGTATTCCTTTCAAAGGCCTGAGGCACACAATCTCTGGGCCACAGCAACGTTTTTACAAAAGTTTTCTCCTATATCAAACATCCTTGCTCCTCTCTTTTCCTAGCTAAGTTGTATCCATTCTGTCTTCTCAGTAAACTACATGGGCAGAGACTTTCCTATCTACCCTCACACAGTATTTCTGCATCCAGCAGTGTCTCATTGCATGGTAAATGTCCAATTAACTTTTTTTGAATGAATGAAAGTAATGACTCATTTTTTAATGAGTTTTCAAGTTTCTATAATATTCTTTTGTTGCAATTTTTCCCACAACTCAAATAGACAGAAAATAATATGTCATTAGAAAGTCAAACTTGCCGTGGAACTAAAAAAATGTTTAAATCATTAACTAGTAAAGGGAGTTTTAGGATGAAAGAAAAGAAGTAAAATCTCTTCAGTGAGGGAACATATACTTCAAACTTGATATCTGCTTATGGATTTTGGAGAATAGCATGTCTATCCTGAACACTTAAAAATTATGATATAAAAGTCAAGAACTTAGAAAATGGCTTCATTTAGCTTCTTTGTCTGAAATTTTTATAGTCACATTAAGAGTGATAAAGCGGATTGTGCACGTTTAGCTTAGTTGGTGTCATACAGTACCTGGTAATTTTGTAAGGGATTATTTTCTGTCAGGAAAGAGAATTATTGAAATAAAAATGGGGAGCTCCCCAGTGAGGAGACAATTACTAGCTTCAGCTAACAACTAATATAATTGGCATGCTTACATGCTTTGTTTATTTGGGAATATAATTTTATTAATTAAATATAAGCCATAAAGGTGGCTACCTGGTGCTTTGTAAATGTAAACACCTTGCTGAATAGTAATTTGAAGTCCATTAACTTCTAAGACTGCCAGGCAGAAGTTTCATAATGAGTTTGCAAGATACACTCAAAATGGAAACATCAGCTCATTAATGAAAGAGTTTGAGAGGAGTTGGCTTCACTGTGTTGAAGGTCATACAGAAAGGGTGGAGAGCCCAGCAGTGTTATCCACAAACCACTTTAGTTCACTGTTAAGAGGAAGTGATCAGTGTCAATTAATCTTGCACAGCCAGGGAAAAATGCTCATACACAGCTATCAAAAGAAATGGTCTTAAATCCAAGACTACATCTTGCCACACATGTTCCAAGTGGGAAGTGTCACTGCTTAAAGGATGTGGATAACTTGCACAAAATCTTTCCATTACCAGCATGATTTTATTTTAAAAGATGCTGAAGTTACTTTTAGAGTATGAATTCATGAATATTAAATTCCTTAAGTTTTTTTATTACTTTTAGAATTTATAAAGCGAAGTCATCATTTTCTCTTCCTTATTCAGTATCATTCCTGCTGTTGAGATTTCAAACTGACAGCCTCTTATACACATTGCTAGAAAGAAAAGTCTTTAAGTGGAACAGCAAAGTCACTGGTGATAAAAGCAATAATATTAGTAGCTATTATTTAGTGAGCAGTTAAACTGTGCCATCATGCATTCTTCAAAGCCTTGTTTATTATAATATTTAAATCTCTAAACAATCCTATACATGCCATTTCCCAGTCATCCATAAAGCTAGGTGTGGCCTTGTGACAGCTTCTAGCCAATGGAATGTGAGAGGGAGAGATACATGCTATTTCTGGGCCAAAGCCCTTAAGAAGCTGATAGGCATTCTCCTCAATTGCTTTTGCCCTTAGCAGGCTGGTATATCAAGAATAAGTCCCTGGGGGGTGACAAAGCTACATGTCGGAAGAAACACATTTTCTGATTCACCATAAGAACTGTGGTTCATAATTTGCATTACTGCTCTGGGTTACTATGTGAGTAAGAAATGAACTTTTATTGTGGTTGAACTCTTACACATTGGGTCTATTTTATATGGTATTTTAGACTACTCTAATGAGTACTAAACAACATTATTATTATCCTCATTTTACAGTTGAGGAAACTGAGGCGCAGAGTTTTTAAAGTAAATTCTTAAATTGCTAATTAGTCAAATGAGCTTTTGAATCCCTGCTGTCTGATGCCGGAGACTGTTTTACAAGTACATTTCTATGCTTGCTACCACAAATCTGAATGGTATCTGGCTAAGGGATAATGCAATGTGCCTGATCCAGAGAGAGTAGCTGGAAATAGCACAGTTAGTACATCACATAGAAACTAGAGGACTGACCTAGTGCAACGGCTTGTTGAAGCTACCCCTGTTGACATAGAGAAGTTGTTGATGGATAAAAAGTAGGAATCCTTAGACAACGAGATTGCTCATTAAGGGAAATATTTCAATATTAGTCCGACAAGCAGAACCTTTTTTTTTCTACTTGCCTTTCCTATTTGCCCAATGCATTAGAGGAACTAGCTACTAAGGAGGGTGGGGCAGGTGATGGAGATATTTGCAGGAAGAAGAGCTCCAATTCTCCTGAATTTCTGGAGCCACATATAGCTCTACCTAAATTGAGGAATGGAGAAGAATTTTGCATTAAGTTTCAGATTAAATATTTTTTAAAGTATTTTTATGGTAATACATTGGCTGAGATTTAGAAATTGAACTTAGCCCATTCCATTAACCAAAATGTGAAAGCAAAGCTAATGATGTATTATTAACAGAAAATTTAATATACTATAGATTAATTGAAACAAAGTTTAAGAAAATAGCTTCCATGACAAACACATTTTTGTTCTTATTATAGTTGGAGTGACCAATTGTCTCAGTTTTCCTGGGACTCTCCCTATTTTAACATTGATGTCCTGTGTCCTGGAAACCCTGAAGTTCCAGATCAACCAGGACAGGTGTTTACTCTGATTCCAGTGGTTAATATTCCTTACCAAACTATTTACATGTTTTTCACCTTCAAAGTTACGGTCATCTTTCTCCAGTTTGCCTTCTCTCCCTACTTGTTCCTTCATGTTTTCCCTCTCAGCACTTATGATGCGCCAAACTGAAGCCACACATTTACTAAGCATGCTGCTGGTCCATGACTTTATGCCCTTGCACATTTATTTTGGTGCCTCTTTTATCTAGGGGGCCCCACTCAAACATGCTGATGGTCTGTCAATACTGTCTCGTCTTTCAAAGCTTAGCTTAAAAATCAGCTTCTCTATGAACTCTTTCTTGATCGCCCCAACTCTCAATAGAATTGACAGCTCTTTTTTCTATGCTATATGGACTTTTATTTCAGTAGGTATGACCGGTTATTGCCCTTTTAGTTTTGACATGTCTAGATCTCCTTCATAACGTGTATCTCAAATTAGGATCTGTGGTGTAACTCCTGACATCTGCAAATATACTTTAAGTTTTTCTTTGCAAGAAAAAATGTAAATAAGTACTTTTTTGACCTATTAAGAACAAACTTCTCTTTTGCTGTGATAATTTGTTATTGAAATATATTTTCACAGAATAAAATTTTAATTTCTGTGTTAGGTTTTTGTAAATTTCAGCTTATGACTTTTTAAATGGCCCTTTGGATTTTTTTTGCTTTAGAAAGAATCTGTATGTCATTATATACACGTAAATTCCAGTGTAATTATCATGGCAATTGTTATGTACTTTCTACTTTTTTTATAGGTTTCATGAAGCTGACATTTTCCGAATTTCTCAAGAATTTGCCTGTTAGTAGCAAAATTGATAGTGAATTTTCCCTCAATTTTTGCCATCAAATAGCAGAGATAATCCTGAAATAGTCTATTTGTGAATTGGGCAAATCATTTAAACTCAAGAGAGTCAGCTTCATTACCTTTCATTGAAGGTGCTAGGACAGATGGGCTTTACAGTTCAATGGAGCTCTAAATAGGTTGCTACAAACAGTGAACCCACAGCCTTTGCTGAATGGTATCAAGGCTTTGGTCCTGGATCCTGAGGTTGCTGTGGTGAAGATCCCATATATGCTTAACCCCAAGGAAAAGATTTCATAGATAAACTTATGGTGACATTTAAAACTCTAGAGGGCAGAGTTTGGATTAGTAAGACGAGAGTAAAGAATCTAATTCCAAATAAACTAGCTATGTAATCACTTATGAAGGCTGTAATAATTGCTCTACAAATATTTGAATAGCATAAATGATATAGGTGATGAGCAATCTATGGGAATACATGCACACAAATATGCACACATATGTAAATTAGATTCAGGGAACATAACAGCTTCTTTATATTCAGAATCACCTTTATAAGAAAGAAGGTAATAGTTTAATGTCATAGGAGATAGATCTTTCAGGGAAAGCCTTATTACTTTCTATTAAAAACAAAAATCACGCCGGGCGCGGTGGCTCACGCCTGTAATCCCAGCACTTTGGGAGGCCGAGGCGGGCGGATCACGAGGTCAGGAGATCGAGACCATCCTGGCTAACACGGTGAAACCCCGTCTCTACTAAAAATACAAAAAATTAGCCGGGCGTGGTAGCGGGCGCCTGTAGTCCCAGCTACTCGGGAGGCTGAGGCAGGAGAATGGCGTGAACCCGGGAGGCGGAGCTTGCAGTGAGCCGAGATCGCGCCACTGCACTCCAGCCTGGGCGACAGAGCGAGACTCCGTCTCAAAAAAAAAAAAAAAAAAAAAAAAAAAAAAAAAAAAAAAAAAAAAAAAAAAATCACATCTCTTAAATATGTTGAAGAAATTGTTATGTGGATTTGAAAATTATAATTGTCTTTTGAATTATAAATATGCCGACCATTTGCCTAAAGTTAAATTGGAAGCTTCCTAGTTTGCTTTTTTTTTTAATTTGTAAAGCTTCTTTAATGAATTGTACAGGATGTAGAAAATAAAGTGAAAAAGAAATATTTTCTACTATATGCAAATACTATGTGAATAGTCCTGAGCAATGATTACTTTCTGGTGAGTTATTAATGATAATATTTAGCAGTAAGACTATAACGTCAGAAGTCAGTACAAAATAAATACTTTCCCTAGACTAGTGACTTGTTTTTTAAAATGACCTTAGCTTCCTTTGTCTGTGAAAGCTTAGTCCTCATTATGACCATTCTGTTTTTATAAGGCAACAATTAAGAAGTATGAAGGGCCTGAGAGTTTACCCTACTTAATAGCTAAGAAATTAGCTTGCCACAAAAATTTTATGGATTCTGGCAGAAGACAAAAAAATTTTTGGATCAAAGAAAAAGGACTCCATTACTTACGGCACAGGATCAACATGGGATTCATATTCATTTCAGATCCTGTTGACTCCCAATTCCCTCATCAGGCCAAAGTAGAGAGGCCCAAGTAGATGCTGCAACATAGCTGAAGAATGTCAAGCTTAGAGAACCAAATCTTTTATTATAATAGGTTGCAAGCAAATTTGTTGAACTTTGTTCTTCAGAGAATTGTCTTTATTATACAGAATAGCTAACAGCAACAACAAAAACAAGCAAAAACAAAACAAAATGAAACAAACTTGACTGTATAATCTGGAACAAAGGCCATTATTGCCAATTCTTTCAAATTGTTCAGAAATGTGGAAAACCATGGGGAGTTGTTTTCCAAAAGCAAAATAAAAGGATAGCTCTACTAATAAAGGTATAATTATTCATTGAGAATTTTTTTTTAAAGAAAAAGCTATTTAAAACCACACAAGGCCGGGCGCAGTGTCTCACGCCTGTAGTCCCAGCACTTTGGGAGGCTGAGGCAGGCGGATCACAAGGTCAGGAGATTGAGACCATCCTGGCTAACACAGTGAAACCCTGTCTCTACTAAAAATACAAACAATTAGCTGGGCGTGGTGGCGGGCACCTGTAGTCCCAGCTACTTGGGAGGCTGAGGCAGGAGAATGGCGTGAACCCAGGAGGCAGAGCTTGCAGTGAGCCGAGATCACGCCACTGCACTCCAGCCTGGGCAACAGAGCGAGACTCTGTCTCAAACACACATACACACACACACACACACACACACACACACAATTCTGTTTTATTGCTTTCCAAGATCTAGTGAGGTATTATCTCTTCAAGAGAGAAATACTTCCAGAAAAGACTCTTTTATTTTTTCTTATGCTATAAGAAATACTAGAACTTTGATGCTGGTGACGTTAAACTTGTTATGATAAAATCTGTAGCCCGTGAAATAGAAAGCAATATTATATACTATAGAGGTATTTCTTTAGCATTCTCCTTTAAAAACTAAAATGTAGATTACCAAAATTGATGGGTATATATTATCACACTCAGATTATGCAATATGGTCATTAAAAGACAAGTTTTCAAATGATATTTAATATTAATATAGGAAAAATGATCAGAGTATTATTAAAGTAGAATACAAAGCTCAGTGTGCTGTATGTACCAATTTTGTACATATAGCCCATACAATTTTATACATGCAAAACATACATACATATAGTACATACATTTTGGAGTATAAATCTGTTCATATTAATATCTGTATGCGTGCACACACACACAAACACACAGTTAGATGGATACACACCAATAATTTAAAAGTGGGTAATTCTAAGATGTTTTGATGAGTAACATTTATTTTACTTTCTATAAGTTAAATAGTTTGTAAATTTTCTACAATTTGTGGATAGATTAATTTTATAAACATAACACAATAAAATTATTGTAAAATCCAGTTGAAATGGCCCAGAGAGTCTATTTAATTCATTTCTCCTATTTTATAATTGAGTGAAGTAGTGTGTAGTGGCTTGGTCAAGGTGGCACAGTACATCTAGGCCAGAGATAAACTGATTGTAATTCTCTTGGCTCTAGACCAAGGGATTTTTAAATTAGTACTCTCTTATATCCTTTTACTGTGCTCTGTTTTATTGTATCTATATCTGACGGACTTTTCATGTCTCTCTTGAGAGTTAACTTTTAGTCCTGGCTTGAAAACTCTTCGAAATTTGAACATTTATAAGTTTGATAGTACATTTGTGGGAGTAAAAGGATGCCTGATGCTGGATTTTACACAGAATGGCCAAGACGTTTCTGGCAGGCAGAGATCAGTCCAGAATGTCTGAATGGAGCTTCCAATGCACCTGAGAAAGCAAGACAGAGAAGAGAAAAAGACAGAATAAAAAACTGCCTTTACAATAGTTAGCAGATGGGACTCTTAAAGGGTGCTGATTCAAGTTGGAAAATTGATAGACTAGAAATAATGGATTTAATTTGAAGTAACATAAAAATCAGTTTAAATAGCAGCAGGGGGGAAACTTTTTAAGAAGTGCTGACTTTAAGAACCACCAAAAAACAGGAATAACTGAGAGCTGTAGAAATACACAAAAATATTTCAACTCTTGACCAAACCAAAAATTAACAAATATGGTTTAAAATTTAGAGGCACATGAACCATTAAAAACCTGTTGAAAAAACAAAAAAAATAAGCAAACAAATATATATGGTGGGACCACAAGCTAGCCTAAGTCATTTTTATGTATTCTTAAACTACATAGGTGCTAAGTTATTTCCATAAAAACATTACTTTTATTCTTTTAATATATTAACAAAATATTTTTCAAACATAAAGAGAAAATTAAAGAATAGCACAGTGAACGTGTATATTTGCCAAATAGATTTAAGAATTAAATATTAAAAATTTTAAATTTTATATTTAAAATTCTAGATTGAAGAATATAAATGTTCATTCTGTATTTAAAATATAAATATTTCAGCATATTTGTTTTCCTTTTTTTATTCCTGTTTGCAACAACTCTCAGATATCTTGACACTTCACCTACTCTATCATTCATCTGAAGAATTTGCAGTTAAGAAATTAAATAATAATATCACTAACCAAATTCATCCTTTCTACTTCTCAGGTTTTCTTTTAGTCTTTGTGAATTGAAGCACATTCTGCATTTAGTTAGTCCACAATTAATAAAACCACTTGGTTATAACTACGTTAGAGGAAAGCATGCTACAGTTTCTTCATTCTGCAATAGGTACTTCAGTTCATTGCAGATTATAAATTCTGCCAATAGCTTATTCACAGGAATATCAAAGAACCTCTATGTCTGAAAAGCATGTAAGTTCATAACGATGTAATGATCTGCCACGGCCACTGAATGCAACTTTACTGTGAGTTTTATGGGTGTATGACTCTTGTCTTTTTCATCTTGTGCACATGAAAATAACAGGCCTCTGCGGTCACTCTGGACAATGATGTAGCTTTGCAAGCTTTTATTATAACGAGAACTTCCTTCACATCATCATGATTTTTTTCTAGCTACTAAGAGTAGTTTATATACATCTTTGCTTTTTGCATTTTGTCAGTCTCTCAGCTGGTGTCCCAGTTGTTGGACTTCTTAACCACCTTTTCTAGTTAGAAGGCTGTCTGTTAGCTCCTTGCTAGGACAGGTACTCAAACAAACTACCACAGAATAGCTTGAAGTTGAACCACAGGGGTTCAACTTCTCTGATGGGCCTTGGAAGCTGCAGGTGGGGAGAAGGGAAAGGTACCTGGTCTCCCTGTCCCCTTCCCTCCCCTTCCCTCTTGTCTCCTACCCTCTCCTCTTTTCTTCCTTTTCTCCCTCCCTCTTTCCTTACCTCTGTCCCTACTTCTCTTCCTTCCTTCCTCTTTCTCTTAGTTTTTATTTAAAAAATCAAAACTAGAAGAAAACTGAAATAATACTATAATGAACAACCACATAGCTTCACAAGGTTCTCAAATATTTACCATTTGCCACATTTGCTTTTCTTTGAAACCTGTGCACATATGTGTGGATGTGTACTTTTCTTTAAAAGTTTGCTTCGGGCATGCTGAAACTTCATGAATTGGACACTTAACAACCCTTCGTGGCTTCATTATGATTGTATTTACCATATTTGGTTACATATTTCAAAGAAAAACTGCAGAGAAATAATTTTGTTGTAACTTTTTTATTTCATGAAGGGCAGCGTGTCTTGAATTTCTCAAAAGACAAATTTTTGTCTATATTTTTTTAATTATATAATAACAAAAATACTTAATGTACAAAATCACCAGTATAACACATCTCAGCGCAGAAGTATAACATGCTGTAAGGCATAAGATAGAGCATATAGTTGACAAAATGTCATTTGTAATATTTCCAAATTTACTTGATGATAATGCATTATCTGGTCTTTCTCTTGAGCCAGCTCATTACTACGAGGTTAGCTCTCAGGTTCTGACTTGTAGACCATTAATGGCTTCAGAATATTCACTGACCTTACCTCTTCCTCATTTTGCTCATTGATCCTGTAATGGAGTTTCTGTCTTTCTAGGATATGACGTCTTCTGAAACTAGACTACCACATCACTTTTCCCTTAGTCTTTGTTTTATGATTGCATGTGAAAGTTTAGTCACTTTCCAACTCTGCTAGTTGTCTTTAAGGGGAACAAAACTAAAAAGAGTGCTGCTAGAAAATATCAAGGGTGACTTCACTCTTGTGCTTATAAATGAGGAAAGAGGTTTTAGGGAAAGGCAAAATGAGGAATGGAAAAACTAGAATGCACACGTATGTTTATTGCGGCATTATTCACAATAGCAAAGACTTGGAACCAAGCCAAATGTCCAACAATGATAGACTGGATTAAGAAAATGTGGCACATATACACCATGGAATACTATGCAGCCATAAAAAATGATGAGTTCATGTCCTTTGTAGGGACATGGATGAAATTGGAAATCATCATTCTCAGTAAGCTATCGCAAGAACAAAAACCCAAACACCGCATATTCTCACTCATAGGTGGGAATTGAACAATGAGATCACATGGACACAGGAAGGGGAATATCACACTCTGGGGACTGTTGTGGGGTCGGGGGAGGGGGGAGGGATAGCATTGGGAGATATACCTAATGCTAGATGACGAGTTAGTGGGTGCAGCGCACCAGCATGTCACATGTATACATATGTAACTAACCTGCACAATGTGCACATGTACCCTAAAACTTAAAGTATAATAAAAAAAAAAAACAGTAAGAGTCGATCTTGAGTAGAATCAATTTAAAATAAATAAAACAGTTTAGAACTTAAGGAATAAAGGGCAAAGAGATAAGGAGGAACAGATAACAATAGATGTTTTCCAGAGGACAGGAGCTGATAGGCTGTGTACCCATGAATATTAGACAGTCAAGTGATTCATTGGAAGGAAGAGAGGTAAGAAAGTTTGATTTATATTTGGCATCCAGATCATTACTCTAAAATACAAAATGTTCATGTATACCTTACGTCTGTTAAAACTTGATGTGATCAGGTTATAATAATAAAAATATTGTCCGTCAAATTTTGGAATGTCTCTACATATGAAATAGGGGTGAGATAGGGATGAGAATCTATTCTGTAGACTTTATTAGCTTTCCCAAGCGTTTTACGTCTTCCGTTGCCTCTTGGGTTCCACTATATATGTATGTTGGAAAGATGTTAAAATAAGTGAGAACTGGACATTACAGAAGACAAACTCAATTTATTTGCTTTTGTTTCTGATTTGGCATTTATCTGTAAACTACCTTTCCTTGGGCCTAACTTTTCATTCTCATGTCTTGTTTTTTTTCAGGATATTAAGCTCCTTTAGTGCAATAATTAAATACTGCACATATTCATCTACCTTTGCATTATACCAATAATAATTCCTCAATAAGTGTTTTTTGAAAGAATGAGTTACAATATAAAATTAAGAGCAAAAAATATTTCCCAAATCCACATAGAGCTAAAAACAAAAACAAAAACAAAAAAAAACAAGAACAACAAACAAACAAAAAACCTTGGAACATGGAAATCTGGGGCATTCCTTTTTGCCTACACAATGCATTTTAAACTTCTTAGTATGACCCTTCACAGTCATGCATCATGTCCTAGTACTCTCCACTTCAGCATTCACTCTGTACTTTCAAACACTAAACTATTTGCCATCCCACAATATACTGTGGACTTTCTTGCTTCCCTGATATGTCTTCTGTTTGGGATATTTCAGCACTATAATTTTTCTGCCACCCAAAAGTCTGCTTCTCTTTTCATGCCCTCTCAAATGTTCGCTCCTTTGTAAGTCCTTCCTGACCACCACCAGCAAAATTCATTTTTCCCTAATCTATGAAACCATATATATATGGATATTATTGTACATAACATGTAGATATAAGTTCATTGTGTAATATATGATTAACCAGGTGGATAACTGATATCGTTTAATGTCCATGTTTTATATGTAATTTTATCTCGTGCCTATTTTCATACTGGACACATAATAGAAATGTCAGTCAAAACCATTAACTCCACTTTTGTCTCACTTTTCTCCAGTGCAACCATATCTTGCACTTGTCCTAGAAAAAAGTAGGAGAAGGCTGCTTCAAAAGGAGAACAGGACTGGATTCTTTCAAATTATTCCCTTGATGGCTTTGATATTGCAGGGGCAATGGAATACAGTTGCAAACTCACCATTCATTATTTTCAACAAGAGTTCTATGCTCTAATTGAATGTTTTACAACTACGTGTGAACTGAAGAGCTAATCTATCACACTTCAAGATCAGCTTAGTTTAAATACCAAATCTAAGGAATGGCACAAAAAACTTGACCTCCTATACCAGTGACAATTGTGGAAGCCCTAATTGATCTTGAAATCATTATCTAGCTTCATAGACATGGATCTTAATTTTTTAACTGTAGTATTAGTTTAGTTATTCTTATTTCAGCCCCCAGCTTTATTGGGGTATACATGACAAATAAAAATTTTATATATTTAATGTGTACAATGTGATGATTTGATATATGCATACACTGTGAAATTATTACTATCCACTTAATTAACATATTAATTAACATATTTATCACCTCACATAGTTCACATCATTTTGTGTATGATGAGAACATTTAAGATCTCCCTTAGCAAATTTCAAGTATACAATACAGTACTATTAACTACAGTCACCATGCTATGATTTGATCCCCAGAACTTGTCCATCTGGTGATTTTTTAACTGTATTCCATTGCCCCTGCAATATCAAAGCCATCAAGGGAATAATTTGAAAGAATCCAGTCCTGTTCTCCTTTTGAAGGAGCCTTCTCCTACTTTTTTCTAGGACAAGTGCAAGATATGGTTGCACTGGAGGAAAGTGAAGGTTTGTAACCTTTGACCATCATTTTCCTATTTCTCACACATACCCAGCCCCTGTACTATTCTACTCTCTGCCTCTATTAGTTATTTTTATTGATATTTTCTCTCTGACTATGTTAAATTCTATTTGCATATATTTGTATAAAATAAATGCAAATTAATAAAGTGTATTTTGAGAAATGTAAGTGGTAAGCATTTTGGAATAGTCAGGTGCCCTTTCAACACATACTTTTGCCATTTGCACTGCTGTTGTGAAAAAACAAATTAAGATTGGAAGGTTTCTTTGTAATCTAACTTAAATCAGACAGATTTTGTACTGTTTCATCAACACTTGGATATCCCAGTGGATTATTTATTACTTTAAGAATATTTTATAATATTTTATTGGATTTCTTTAACCTCTGATTGTCCAGCGCTTGGGCTTAGTGGTGAGAATATTAATGCTAAATAAATTAATCATAATAATTGGGCTTAAGACATAATGGCACCAAAAGGTTAATCGAACAGTCTCTATCATGGTGACAAGATGGATTAATGATTTACTTGTTCGTAGGGCCCTGATTTTGATTGATTTTTTTCAAACACATGCTTTATTTGTATGTTAAAGAGGTAAAGCTTTGCTGTTTGTTGCTGTTAGAAAGAAAGATCTGATAATGTTAATAATAACATTTCTCTATGGAAATGGAAGCAAAGAAGATTCGTCTATGGAAGAAGTTAGCATACTAACAACAATTTGATTTCTTTATTTAGTTGAATTATTTTGTAGGAGTATATATAGACCAAAAACAAGAACAAACAAAAATTTCAACAACAAATCCAAACAAAAACATGGATTCAACACTATATACGAAATGCTGTCATCACTCACCCCTGTATTTTATGTACTTCCATTCCCTTCACAGCACTATATTTTCCCTTTTGTTTGTCTTACAGTGTTGTAGGTTATATAGGATAAAGCAGGACTCTGAAATTCCATTTTCAATGAACACATGGGAGCTTTTGAATTAGATTTTCTGTTGTCTTGTGTCTTGTCACACCCAGTGGGAGTTCTCCTGGGTTGTAAATGAGAGAGGGTAATTAGACAATTCTTCATAAAACCTTGTTATAGAGTACATAGAGGTGTGAAAACTTCAGATCCATAAAGGCTATTGGGTAGGGATGATCCTGGAAGGAGAAGCTTCTGAGATGGAAAACACCAGTTTAAATGATTTTGTATCACTTTCATCATTGAAGATACACTCCTTCAATCACCACCACCTTAGTCTGGCAGGGGTGTTTAATTATTGTTTTCTCCTTTGTCTCATTTTACTAATGAAGAACTAAGGCCCAGAAAAGTAAACTGACTTTTCAAAAATCATAAGCAGTATGAGAAATCTAGGAATAGACTTCTATTACCCTGCTACCTGGATGAGTATTTTTAAAACATCACTCTATTTCAGAGTTTGCTTCTTGGAGGGTATAGCCTAGGTACCATTTATCTGATCATGTTCTTCTGTTTACATCTAAAGCATCTAGGGACAGAAAGGCAGTACATATAATTTAATAACATGGACTCCTTCCAGATTGCCTGGGTTTGAATATTGGCTCTTGGAAAAGTACTTTACATTTATGTTATTATTTCTCTCTCTATAAAAGAGATAGTAAGAATTTTAACTACCTCATAGAGTTTTCATTAGAATTAATTAATGTAAAGCATCTGAAATTGAGCTTAGCATCTATTAAATGCTTTATAGGTATTACTTGTTAACATTAGGAAGGCATGGACTTATTTTGACATTAGTTTATGCCATCATTATGGACTGAATTCCCTCAAATTCATATGTTGAAGCCTCTATCTCCAATATAACTCTATTTAGAGATAGGACCTATGAGAAGGTAATAAAAGTTCAAAGAGATCAAAAGAGTGGGGCCTTAATCCAACAGGACTGGTGATCTTATAGTAACAGGAAGAGACACCAGAGATTTCTCCCTTGTCTGAGTGTGCACAGAGGAAAAGCCATGTGAGGACACAGTAGAGATGTCAGTCTTCTACAAGCCAAAAGGAGAGCCCTTACTGACAATCAAACTGGCTGGCACCTTGATCTTGAACTTCCAACCTCCAGAACTGTGAGAAAATTAATTTCTGTTGTTTAAACCACCCAATTTGTGTCATTATGTCAGCCATCATAGGGGATTATTTCACATGGGAAGTTCTGAATCTCTGTCTAATCGACCTAGACCAGGGTCTAGTTGCTACAGTAAATTTTTGCATGCTTCCTTCAGAAACGTGCTTTTCTTTTTAGTTTTCCCTTCGTATATGAAATTTCTAAGGTAATCTTTTTCAAGATTGTGATCATGTGGAGAAACAAATTTTGTTCTCAAATTTCTAGGGCTTGGTTTAGGTAGAAATGTCCTCTAGGCCTAATTGTTTTGAGATTCTCAAATTTGGGTGTGGGTTGAATAGTTTCAACGTTTCAACACATTTCTAGAAATTTAGCCCAAAAGCAAATCAGTGAAAAGCATTTCTTTTTCTACTGTGTTGTTACAATTAGGAAAACTGCAAATTCCTGTATTACTGGCAGATGGCAGCCCTGTGCTGCTAGTAAGAAAGAATAGGGTCTGAGTTACAGACCACAGCCTCCTTGACTCTGTACACTGATCAGTGAACAGGTTACTCTAGCAAAAAGTCAAATATGTGACATTTTAGATAGCTTAACAAAATTTATTGTTGAAATAGTTACTTATAAAAAGAGGAGACAGTCTACACTAATGTCTAGTTTTCACAAGAAATATTCCCACAATGGTAAAGATTTAGAGTAAGAAGACATAAGCTTATTACCTGTGTGTTCCATCTAGTAGCTGCAAGTTCTTGAAAGGAGTCACTCTAAGTTAAAACTCACATAATCTGTAAAATGAAGAAAATAAAGATGTTTTCCACAAGGTTATTCATAGGAGCAACTTAGTGATTGCTGGAAAGTATTGCTTTTAATTTTTTCACCACGGGTCCTTATTTTGAAAAGAGGATTAATTCTTATCTGTTAGGCTAGAAAAGTAGCCCAAATAGACAGTACAAAAGTAAAATGCCAATGAAGTCTTCCTGTGTGGTTTTGAAAACAAATTCCTTCCACTCCATAGTGTAACCACATTTGTGTAAATGTAAAATTAAAGGTTTAGGTGACTTATTAAATAAACTGCTAGACTTATGTAGTAACATATGAAGTCCTAATACTGTATCTTGTACATAATAGGCATTCAGTAATTAGTAGCTCTTTTATTACTATATATATGCCATAGCCAGGAACTTTACAAGGGTAATGTTGTTTCATCTTCACAATACCCAGTTAAGTTTGTATCATATCTGCAATTTACATTTAAGAAAACAACCCTTGCGATGAGTGATGATAAAAAAGCTTGCCCAAGGTCACATAAACTGTAAATGGAGGAGCCAGAATTTGAATTCAAATCTTACTTTCTGTGGCACAAATGAATTGTGATTTAAAGAAAATTGCTTAATGTCTCTGAGCCTGGGGCGATTAATGTGTCACTTGGATAGATTACCTTCCCTGGCTGACTACAAAATGATGCTGCATGTAGAAATTTAGGTAACTAAGACTCGCTACGGCTATATAATTACTGTCGAAGGATATTGAATAAAAGTTTTCTATTGACTGATGTCCCAAAGCATATAAAAAAACACAGTAAGTGCTCCCATATTCTAGACAGAGCTAGTAGATGCTTCTTTGTTAGGAGGTGGCCACACTGTTCTTTTTAGCTTCACCAGCAATACCCTTTCAGCCTCCATAAGCAGAGACTACAAATGGGGAAGTTCTAGAAGAGTGGTGCAAAAGCTTAGAACATTCTTAGGATTTTTATCCCTCTTTCTCAGGCAAATGAGATCATGTGTAGAGATAAGGGGTGCTCATGCAAAAGTAAGACTAAAATCACATTGTCTGAGTAGATGCTTGCAGAGGTACGGGAGCTCACTGGAGTTCAATGAGAGCTCTGAAGAGCTTCAATATGTTGAAAGCACACAGGAACATACAACGTAGGACATACCTAAACACAAAGACTGGTGTCTGTTTATTGCCTGAGGGGTTTTGAAAGTGGAAGCTAGCTGGAATAGTTGGAGCAGACCACGTAGGTCACAATATTTTGAAGTAAAACTTTTTATTGCATTCAGGGAAGATAAAGAGATATTGATGTTTCTGTTTTGTTTTGCTTTTCAGAGAGATGTGGGATGATTTAGCTTGAGATCATGGTGGCTACTGCATGAGGATGAGGCTATCAGGTGAAGTAGAAGCAGTGATACCTTCAGAAGATTATTGCAATGAATGGTGAGGTTTGATCTAGAGTTGTAGCAGTTCAGATCTACATTTCTCTCTCTTCCTGCATTTTAATATTTCCTTGGAAATTAGATGAAAATAATTAGACATTTTGGATGACAATTATTACTAAATTATGAATAATTAACAGATTTAATGAGCTTGGGATGGGAAAAAGGACTACTATGTGCTTTTGTTCCTAATGGGTGAGGAGCTTTTGATTTCAGGGACCTTGATAATGCACTTAATTTCCTCATTCTGCCAGTACAAGGGTAGGCATTTGTCATATTGTTGGCATTCTGTTCTTTCTAGAGGGACAAAAGAAACCTATGGGTGTCTTTAGTAGGCTAGTAAATTGCCCCAGCCTGCCCTCCAACTTCAAATACATAATCATCAAATATTTATTTAACATTTACTAAATGAAAATGTAAGAACAGAATGAGGAATGGAGGATGAAGATGGCTTTGGTGATAGCACTCAACCTCCTCTCCACAATTTAGGAAAACCAAAGTTATAGCATTTCAGAATACTTTTCTTTTCTTTTTGTTTTTTTTTTAGATAGAGTCTCACTCTGTCACCCAGGATGGAGTGCTCCCTGCAACCTCCACCTCCCAGGTTCAAGCAATTCTCCTGCCTCAGCCTCCTGAGTAGCTGAGACTACAGGCATGTGCCACCACACCCAGTTAGTTTTTGTATTTTAAGTCGAGACAGGGTTTCACCATGTTAGCCAGGCTGGTCTTGAACTCCTGACCTCAAGTGATCCACCTGTCTCGACCTCCCAAACTGCTGGGATTACAGACATGAGCCACCATGCCTGGCCTCAGAATACTTTTCGTAGAAGGAAGAGTAGCCAATACCAATTGTTTTGCAAGCAGGTCACTAATTGGCCTCATCTCCTACCTCAATTTCCTACTGAAATATGCTTTTGAGACATACGTTTTACTCTATTCTAACAAATCCTTTTCTGTAATTTGAGAGTACTGGTAATATTTTCAGGCTTCTTTTAAGTCAGTGTTCAGAGAACCTGTCTGGTTGTCTTGCTGTTTAATCTAGTTCTTCTAATAGTGTGCTAGTTTTTCGTGATTTGCTTAATATTTTTGTGTTCAAGAAGGATGAACTTCACACCATTTGACTAACTGGTAAGTATAGACTGTGGTGATCAAAAATTTTAATGAGACTGTGGCCATCAGGAAGTCAGCACTAGCAGCATTTTCAAAGTCTGTGCAAAAAATAAAACAGATCTGAGTTATATTTCATTTTAGCACATTGAGGAATTTCCCAAATGGAACCAAGGTTTCAAGCAGATACTTCACAAAATCCAACATAAAATCAGGAATAGTATGAAGACAATAGTTTTGAATGAAGACATCATGTTCTTTGATGTTAAGTATATATTTTATATATAGGATAGTAGGCACATGATATTCAGATAGAAAAATTAGACAATGGGAAACATTTTCCAATTGACCCTTTCCTACACACACACCATTCCTCTCATTTTAGACCTGCTGCTAATTTCAAAATCCTACAGGCATTAAAGATGCTAAGGAGGGTCTTGCAAATTAGCCTCTATTATGTGATCAGAAGAAAAGAGCTGAAGAAAGTAGAGAGATCATTAATCTTAGAATTTGTCTTGAGGTCACCTTTGCTGAAAGTGGGAGCCCAGACAGGAAGTGGGAAGTTTGAGAAACCTCACATTTAGATGTATTAATGCAGAAACTGATGGAACAAGAAATTTTTTCATCATCCATCACTGACTATCTGTATATTACTGAATTTTACGGTGAGGAAACCTGTACTGTACCTTCAACATACCAGGCTTTTACCAAAAAAAAATTGTATATGTAGCCTTACCCTCTCTTACTATCTGGTTAAAACAATTCAAAGTACATTTCTAGAAAGAGAGAAATGGAGTAGTGACCAGTATGAGTTTGGAGTTTTTGAATTTGGCAATGTCCCTGACTTCCTTATTTATTGTTTTGAAAAGTTCTTAACTTTTTTCTCTCTGCAGAATTAGAATAATAACACATAATCACATTATTTTTTGGAGGATTAAGTGAGATAATATTTATAAATTGTTCAGCACATTGAGTAATGCTAGCTATTAGAATCATTAGAGTAATCAATCAGCCATGAGATCAAAATTCTGTTTCTCTCTTTTCTAGTTAAGACCAATTGAATATTGTTGTTGTTGTTGTTGTTTTTCCAAGAGGGCAGATTAAAGGCCTTTAGTGTGTCTCAGGCACTTGGAAATAGCAAGATGGCTCATAAAGATGAACTCTGTGAACTGTAATTCAAGAAGGAAAATGAGAATCCACCAGAATCTTGAAGGACACACCTGATCCTGGAGAGGAGAACACTGGCAAACAGCCACTGTAACGGCGTCTGGCTGATAAAAGTGAGTGAAGCCCAGTACATGAGAGAGGCAGAGTCTTTCTCTGTAATTCACCTTTGCACTGTAGATCCAAGTGACCCATGCCGAGGGAGAGCAGTTTGCTTCTCCCAAGCCCTGAAGTCAACTTGGGGAGAGGCTTGGGAATGCTGTGAAAGAAAGATATTAGGAAGAACTGCAAACATTTTCCAAGACCCAGGGCTAAGAGCAGAATGCCATTTTCAATCTGGGTGCATACAAAGTCAGCCATTCTTTGGCAACCTGACAGCATGGCTGCACACACATTTTAATCTCAGGCTAGAGATTGGAGCTCCTGCTCTGGTGCAGGGTAAGGGTTTCTACAGTCAGAACTGTGGAAAGTGCCTCAGCAGTAGCTGCTGGAATTGTGCTCTCTCCTATTACAAGCCTGGGCTGGGAGGAGAGCTGCTGCAGCTAGTTTTTCCCAGGTGGCAAGACTTGCAGCCAGGGCCAGCTTGGCAACTGAGAACTGATCTGCATGAGACATTGCTGGGTGCCTAGATCTGCTCCGCTGAGATTGTGTTTTACTGCCTGGATAAAACAATACACAGTATGTTTCTGGAGAGAAATGCAGTTTGGCCCTCACTACTTCACTCTTAGAGAGAAATCCAGGCATTTGGAACACCTGCTTGCCTAGACCAGCAGCTTGAGCTTCCTAACCTGTTACGGACATTGATTGTGGTGCATCAGGACCTCTCCACTCCACACCCAGGCAAATCTCCAGGCATTCAGAGCACCTGCTTACCTGGGTCAGCAGTCTGTCCCACCCCACCCTTCCTGTGCAGAGATCCTGGTGCAGGGAGTCCCTCTCAGCTTCATGCCCAGGCAGATCCCCAGACATTTGGAACACCCATTATTCTGGTTCAGTAGCCTGAGCCACCCTACCCTACCTGGACATAAGTCATGGTGCAGTGCACTTTGCTCTGCACCCAAGCAGAATGTCCAGATATTTAGAGCACCAGCTTGCCTGGATCAGCAGCCCGAGTCACCCCAAAACTCCTGTGCAGAGATCCTGTTGCAGGGGTCCTCTGTTCACACCATGCCCACGTAGATCTCTGGACATCTGGAGCACCCACACGCCTGGATTAGGAGTTTAGGCCACCCCCAATCCCTATGCACAGAACTCGGGGCTGAGGAGGTTTCTCAGCTCCACACTTAGGCACACCTCTAGGTGCTTGGCAGCTACCCACTGGTTTCTCCTTGGCACTAGTATGTCTGCCTGCCATTGGGGGACCTGTAGGTGGAATTGCCCAATCTGGCCCCACACTTTGTGGCCCCCACTGACCTCCTGGGGCTGAGCAGGGAGTTCAGACCACTATGTATTCCACAATGAGACATTTGAGACATTGCTTGAGACAAAAGAGAACTTCTGCCAGTAAACAAGGATCAAGTATATACACAGCCATATTGGCTGCAGTTGGCTCTTACCCACAAACACTATCTACTGAATTTAGGAAAAACTGCACAGCCCATTATAAAACCTACAGAAAGAAGTGCATAGGGCTGTGGAAGCAAAGCCAAAAGAACCCCTATGGAGGAGTGGAAGTGAAAGGGAAATAATAATAATATAGGGGAAGAAAGAAAAATAAAAAATCCCACTTGCAAGAAAATTATCACAAAAATTATAAGTGCCAGAGTCTTCAGATAAGAAGGAACCAATGCAAGAATTCTTGCACCATAAAAAAAATCTGAATGTAGTGACATCACCAAAGGATTTTACTAACTCTACATCAATGTTCCCTAACGAAAATGAAAATTAAGAAATGACAGATAAAGCATTCAAAATAAGGATTGCAAGGAAGCTCAATGAGATCCAAGATGAGGTTGAAAATCAATACAAATGTACTTCTGAAGCAACCCAGGAAATGAAGAGATGAACGTCTTAAAAAGGTATCAATCAGAGCTTCTGGCATTGAAAACTATCTTAAGGAAATTCAAAATACAATTGAAAGTTTTATTAATAAATGGGACCAAGCAAAAGAAAGGATTTCAGAGCTTGAAAACCAGTCTTTTAAACAAATCCAGTCAGACAAAAGTAAGTAAATAAGAATTTAAAAAATGAATGAAGTCTTCAAGAAATATAAAATTATGTAAAGTGACCAAACCTACAGATTACTGGCATTCCTGAGAGAAAAGGAGAAAAAGTAAACAACTTGGAAATTATATTTGATGGAATAATTCAAGAAAACTTCACTATTCTTGCTAGAGAGGTAGTCATCCATATATAAGCAATCCAAGGAACACCTGTGAGATACCATGCAAAATGAACATTATCAGTGCATATAGTCATCAGACTGTCCAAGGTTATGCTAAAGAAAAAATATTAAAGGCAGCTGGAGAGAAAGGTCAGATCACATATCAATGGAATCTTAGGCTAGCAGAGGACTTCTCAGCAGAAACCTGACAGGCCAGGGGAAATTGGGGGTTATTTTTATCATTCTTAGAGAAGACATATTTCAACCAAGAATTTTATATTTCACCAAGCTAAGCTTTAAAAGTGAAGGAGAAATAAAATCTTTTTCAGACAAGTAAGTACTAAGGGAATTCCTTACCACTAGACCAGCCATACAAGAGATCCTTAGGGAGTTCTAAATATGGAAATAAAAGATCAATACCTACAACCACAAAAACATGTGAGTACATAGCCTGGAGACACTATAAAACAACCACACAATAGAAACTGCAAAGAAACCAGCTAACAACTTCATGATAAGACCCAAATCGCACATATCAATATTATCCTTGAATGTAAATGGCCTAAATGCCTCACTTAAAAGGCACAAAGTGAAAATTTGTGTAGAAACGCAAAACCCAGGCATCTGTTGCCTTCGAGAGACCCATCTCACATGTTATTACAACCATAGGCTCAAAATCAAGGATTAGGGAAGACCTATCATACAAACAGAAAACAAAACAAAAAAGTAGGAGTCACCATTCTTATATCAGACAAAAAAGACTTTAAACCAACAACAGTAAAAAAGGACCAAGAAGGGCATTACATAATGATAAAGGGTTCAGTTATAAAAGAAAGTTTAATGATCTTAAATATATATGCACCCAACATTGGAGTACCCAGATTTATATAACAAGTACTTCTAGACCTACAAAAAGACTTAGATTACCACATAATAATAGTGGAGGATGTCAACATCCCACTGACAGCATTAGACAGATCACCAAGGCAGAAAACTAACAAAGAAATTCCAGACTTTAACTCAACACTTGACCAATTGGACCTGATGGCTATAGAATACTCTATTCATCAACCATAGAATATACATTCCTCTCATATTTACACATAACATATTTCAAGATGGACCAAATGCTCAGCCAAAAAGCAAGTCTTTTTTTTTTTTTTTCTTTTTTGAGACAGTCTCGCTCTGACTCCCAGGCTGGAGTGCAGTGGTGGGATCTTGGCTCACTGCAAGCTCTGCCTCCTGGGTTCACGCCATTCTCCTGCCTCAGCCTCCAGAATAGCTGGGACCACAGGCGCCCACCACCGTGCCTGGCTATTTTTTTTTTTTTTTTTTTTTTTGTATTTTTAGTAGAGACAGGGTTTCACCATATTAGCCAGGATGGCCTCGATCTCTTGACCTCGTGATCTGCCCGCCTCGGCCTCCCAAAGTGCTGGGATTACAGGCATGAGCCACCACGCCTGGCTGAAGGCAAGTCATAATATATCCATATAGGTCAAAATTATAGCAACCGTACTCTCAGACCACAGTGGAATAAAAACAGAAATCAATACCAAGAAAATCTCTGAAACACACACAATTCCATGGAAATTAAACAACCTGTTTCTGAATGACTTTTGGGTAAACAATGAAATAAAGGCAGACATCAAAAAATTCTTTAAAGTAAATGAAAACAGAGACATAACATACCAAAATCTCTGGGATGCATCAGAAACAATGTTACAAGGGAAGTTATGAGTGCTAAACACCTACTTCAAAAATGTAGAAACATCTCAACTATCTCACCTCACACCTAGAGGAATTAGAAAAACAAGAACAAACTAACCACAGAAGAAAATAAATAATTAAAAGTGGAACTGAAAAAATTGAGTCCCAAACATCCGTATAATCAATGAAACCAAAAGTTAGTTCTTTAAATGCTAAACAAGATCTACAGACCACTAGCTAGATTAACAAAGACAAAAAGAGAGAAGATCCAAATAAACACCATCAGCAATGACAAAGGTAACATTACAACTGATCCCACAGAGACTACTATGGATACCTCTATGCACGCAAATTTGAGGAAATGATAAATTCCTGGAAACACACAATCTACCCAGATTGAATCGGGAAGAAATTGAAACCCTGAACAGACAGACTAATATCAAATTCCAAAATTGAATCAGTAATAGAAAGAACCTACCAACCAAAAAAAAAAAAAAAAAAACCCGACTAGCCGGACTAGATTCACAGCTCAATTGTACCAGATGTACAAAGAGGAGCTGATACCAATCCATTAAATCCACTATTCCAAATAATCAAGGAGGAAGACTCATCCCTAACTCTATGAAGCCAGTATCAACCTGATACGAAAACCTGACAAAGACACTATGAAAAAAGAAAACTACAGGCTAATGTCCCTGATGACCATAGATGCAAAAATCCTCAACAAAATACTCGCAAACTGAATTCAGTAGTGCATCAAAAAGTAATTCACCATAATCATATCAGATTCATTCCTGGAATAGAAGTTTGGTTCAACATATACAAATCAATAAATGTGATTCACCAAATAAATAGAACTAAAAATAAAAACAATATGATCATCTGAATAGACATGGAAAAAGCTTTTGATAAATTCCAACATCCCTTTATGATAAAAAGCCTTAATAACTAGGCATTGGAAGAACATACCTCTTTTTTTTATTATTATACTTTAAGTTCTAGGGTACATGTGCACAACATGCAGGTTTGTTACATATGTATACATGTGCCATGTTGGTGTGCTGCACCCATTAACTTGTCATTTAACATTAGGTATATCTCTTAATGCTATCCCTCCCCCCTCCCCCCACCCCATGACAGGCCCCTGTGTGATGTTCCCCTTCCTGTGTCCATGTGTTCTCATTGCTCAATTCCCACCTATGAGTGAGAACATGCGGTCTTTGGTTTTTTGTCCTTGCAATAGTTTGCTGAGAAGGATGGTTTCCAGCTTCATCCATGTCCCTACAAAGGACATGAACTCACCTTTTTCATGGCTGCATAGTATTCCATGGTGTACATGTGCCACATTTGCTTAATCCAGTCTATCATTGTTGGACATTTGGGTTGGTTCCAAGTCTTTGCTATTGTGAATAGTGCTGCAATAAACATACGTGTGCATGTGTCTTTATAGCAGCATGACTTATAATCCTTTGGGTGTATACCCAGTAATGGGATGGCTGGGTCGAATGGTATTTCTAGTTCTAGATCGCTGAAGAATTGCCACACTGACTTCCACAATGGTTGAACTAGTTTACAGTCCCACCAACAGTGTAAAAGTGTCCCTGTTTCTCCACATCCTCTCCAGCACCTGTTGTTTCCTGACTTTTTAATGGTCGCCATTCTAACTGGTGTGAGATGGTATGTCATTGTGGTTTTGATTTGCATTTCTCTGATGGCCAGTGATGATGAGCATTTTTCATGTGTCTTTTGGCTGCATAAATGTCTTCTTTTGAGAAGTGTCTGTTCACATCCTTCGCCCACTTTTTGATGGGGTTGTTTGTTTTTTTCTTGTAAATTTGTTTGAGTTCATCGTAGATTCTGGATATTAGCCCTTTGTCAGATGAGTAGATTGCAAAAACTTTCTCCCATTCTGTAGGTTGCCTGTTCACTCTAATGATAGTTTGTTATAATTTCTGTTCTTTTACATTTGCTGAGGAGTGCTTTACTTCCAACTATGTGGTCAATTTTGGAATAAGTGTGGTGTGATGCTGAGAAGAATGTATATTCTGTTGATTTGGGGTGGAGAGTTCTGTAGATGTCTATTAAGTCTACTTGGTGCAGAGCTGAGTTCAATTCCTGGATATCCTTGTTAACTTTCTGTCTCGTGGATCTATGTAATGTTGACTGGGGGGTGTTAAAGTCTCCCATTATTATTGTGTGGGAGTCTAAGTCTCTAAGGACTTGCTTTATAAATCTGGGTGCTCCTATATTGGGTGCATATATATTTAGGATAGTTAGCTCTTCTTGTTGAATTGATCCCTTTACCATTACGTAATGGCCTTCTTTGTCTCTTTTGATCTTTCTTGGTTTAAAGTCTGTTTTACCAGAGACTAGGATTGCAACCTCTGCCTTTTTTTTGTGTTCCATTTACTATGGCAATGTTGTGGAATGAAATGTGTTTCTCCAAAATTCACATGTTGAAGGCCAACCCCTGTATCTCAGAATTTGACTGCATTTGTTGATAGTGCCTTTAAACAAGTGATTAAGTCAAAATAAGACCATTTGGGTGGGCCCTAATCCAAACTAACTGGTGTCCTTCTATGAGAGGCCATTTGGACACACAAAGAGATATCAGGGGTGCACATGCAGATACAGAAATGACGACATAAGAAAACAGTGAGAAGGCAAGCCAACAAGAGAGCCCTCAGAAGAAGCCAAACCTCCTGACACCTTGATCTTGGACTTTTGGCCTCCAGAACTGCAAGAAAATAATTTTATTTAAAAAAAAAATAATTGGAATTATAAAATTCAAGAAGAGAAACTACTTATCCTGGATGCGCCATTTTTTCTTGCATTTTTGCATTATTCAGTCCATCTTTCCAATGCAGTGTTTATCAACCCCTGGTAAATAGTAAAATCATTTGGAGAGATCTTAGAAAATATTGATGTTTGGCCCTATGAAGTTTGGGAAGTTATATGAAGTTTGGGAATAATGGAGGTTAATGTAAGTGATATTAAATGTTAACATATAAAAATTAGATAAATGGGTGAATGAGAGAATGAATAGCTTCATGTTTCTGTTGGGGACTTTAGAGTAGATGTTGTTTACCATTAATGACAACAAAGAACTCCAAATTAGGAACTGGATTGAGGAAAATTTGAAGAATTAACTGGGAGGTATCTGAGGAGCAATAACAAGTAAGCTATCATTAGATATTGTTTTTTGTGTTTTGCAAAAGATATGTGATCCAAGTAACTGATATAAATTTCTTATGATTATCCCTTTTCATTAGATATAAAAATACTAAATGGGAATATTCACAGACTGTACTAACCAGACAGTGTCCTCTATTCTATCTGCAGACCCTTTAGTCAAATCATGCTAAGAATTTTCTTTAGATACAAGACTCTAAAGCATGCGTGGCAAATATTTAACATGTAGGCTGTACATGTATATGGAGAATTCCAGTGTAATCTTAAATTATATGCATCAATTTGCTAATTACTAACGAGCAAAGATAAGGGCCATTATTCCAGCTTCACATGGTAGTCTTAGCCATGCCACCTCTCCTTTATTGTTAGATTTACAGTTTTCCTAAAAAAAGGTTAAATTTCTTTCCCCTCCAAAAACTGTCCTGGTTTTATCTTTGTCTAGATAGTTCCTTCTCTCGCTTAAGGTTCTATCTCATTATCAGCATAAATTCTATGTTTTGCATTGTTGGAATAAGAAAAAGCCTTGTTGAGAGTCATACCAGGGCACTGTGATTTCTTATTGGCCTAGCTGATGATGTGATACTCTTGTTTTTCACCTATTCTGGGTAGCAATTTGGAATGAAAAAATAATATTACCGTGGTATAAGTCCCAACAGAAGTATTAAATCTGGCTAGCACTACTTGTTATGACAGACTAAAATAAATACACTTACATTTCACCTTGGTTACTTTTCCATAAGAGTAATTTTATAAGTAGAGTTACTCTGCCTTGACAAATACTGAACTGTTGGGTAAAAAATGTATATGCTAACATGAATCATGCATATGAGTGTGCTTAGGTAACAATATATGGTAGAAATAGTGATATTGACTTCATATGGATTTTACATATTGATTATACTGTATCACTGTATATATATTACATTGATTATATATTATCAATGTTATAATAGTTGGAGAAATAATACATACATATCATATATTACATATCATATACGTTATCCATCCCACCAAAAAGTTCTCTTTGAGAGAGATGTAATTTATAATAATATGACAGCAACTTTCTATATATTTTTTCTATACATTCAAAATTATATCTTTGCTGATGAGTAAAAAAGTTGAGCAACATGGACGATGCTTATAGATTAATTGCATATCTTCTTTAGCTCAGTAGTGGGATTATCAGGATTTAATTAAAAATTCACTCAAAATTCTTTGGAGGTGAAAAGCTTTTTGGATGAAAAAAATATAAATTTCAGAAGTTTCACTGAGATCAGTGATACTTCAGAGTATTTTTCTTGAAATTTTAGTAAAAAACATTCTTGTCGAAGAAATACAGTGTTCTGTAGTCAAGAATAACCCACCTGTGAATAGCATTGGTACATAATAAATTTAGTATTTTTATTTTTCTATTGTTGTTTTTAGAGATTCCGTGTTCATATATGAAGCACAGAGCAAAACAGGGGGTGTCTGAAAAAAGCCTCATGCCAGTCCAGAAAGCACCCCATCCAGGAGTATTGATATTGCTAAATTAACCATGAATCATGATCTGGTCCTCAGAATCTTGATTTTACTGGTGTTCTGTGAATGACTGAGAGTGAATGTGTGACTAGGAACATTAACTAAGGAGGACTGAGGAATTTTCACCTTCTTTAACTTATCTTCTTAACCTGGGTACCATAAATGAAATTTAGGGGACCTAATAACCTATCTAAAACAGTGCATATTTCTGAAGAGATGGTCAAATTCTCAAAGGAGTCTGTGAAAAAAGAAATTGGTCAGGTTAGAAATAGACAAGCCAAAGAAAAGTCAATATTTCCAAGCAAGACTCTCCCCTTATCCCCGTAGGAAAATGTTTGCTTTTCTCTCTCTCATTTTTATTCTCCATCTCTGTCAGTCTGTCTCTCACATTTTTTCTCAATCTTTTTTTGAAAGTAAAATTCTTTTTTTTTTTTTCTTTTTTTTTTCTTGGTCCTCTTGTTTTATTTTTTTTTATTATTTTTTTTTATTATACTTTAAGTTTTAGGGTACATGTGCACATTGTGCAGGTTAGTTACATATGTATACATGTGCCATGCTGGTGCGCTGCACCCACTAACTCGTCATCTAGCATTAGGTATATCTCCCAATGCTATCCCTCCCCCCTCCCCCCACCCCACCACAGTCCCCAGAGTGTGATATTCCCCTTCCTGTGTCCATGTGATCTCATTGTTCAATTCCCACCTATGAAAGTAAAATTCTTATCATCTTTTTCCTAACAGCATACAAGTAAATTATCACTAAATTGTCACATTCCAGTTATCCAACAGTGATATTACTTTCAGATTACCTTGATGGTTATATTGAGTATCAATGTTATATATATATATAAATGAATTAAAATATCCAATGTGTATCAATGTATCAACTTTACCATTTTGAATGTAAGGATATCCTTGTTTCTTAGTAGTCTTGATGCATCTCAATGTTAACTATCATTTGAGGTAAAATTTAATTTTTCCACACAGATGATTTTTCTCCATTTTAACATAAAATGAACTATGATATTATAACAGAAAATTTATAGCATTTGTACTAACTACAAAGATTAACGTTTTTATACAAAATTACATTTTGGTTTGCCTCTAGATGGGGATGTCATGATTGATTTCTTTATGTTGAACATAAAATCAGGAGAAATGTAAGGAATTACAAAGTACGTCATCTGTAATCTAATTGGGAACTTTTTATTGAGAATTTATAGATGCTGTTTTGAGAACCAGCCATGTTCATGCATTCTGGTTTCATTTATCTTAGATGGGATAAACCATGTTTGTAATTTGTTAATTTTTGATAATTTTCCATCAGTTTTGGAAGCTATACAACCTATTCTGGCAGCACATTTCTATGGCTGAGAACCAGAAGTCAGGTAGAAAAATATGGACAAAATATTCTTATAAAAATTCATGTGAACTTTGATATTTTATAGTTGCAGAAATGAACTAGCAAAATTTCTGGAATGAATATATCAGAGGTAGTTGCAGTTTTAATATTATATTGATCAACAGCAAACCAAGATGGGAATGGGGAAAATCTTTTACCTTATTCTCCCTGAGAATATTATCAGAACATACTGTTTGTACTTACAACATTTATAGCTGTCATCCCCTGTATTTACGTTTTATCTGCCCTTTCTACTAGATCCTGAACTCCTAGATGGCCATGGCAGTGTTTCTATATCTTCACAGCACTGCACAAAGTGATATTATACAGTTGCTGTTCTTTAAATGTGTGTTGAATGTTGTAAAATTGATCACTATATTCATATGGAACTGTGCTTTTCAATGCTATGAACAATAGGTGACATTAATAAACTACCTTCAGTTAGAATTTCATAGTTTTCTACATTTTGGAGAGAAATATAGAGAAATAGTTAAGAAGCAAGAAACCTAATAAAACACTGCCTCTGACAATCTCATATGACATTGAAAAAATTAGGTAAGCTACCAGAGTTTTCAAATCTCTGAAATGGGGATGTTTTAAAATGGGTCACAGCTCACAGGCTGTGACCTTATCCCACTTCCCCTTTGAGATCTTCACCAGCTCAGCATGCTTCAGATGTCCTCAAAGATTCTCTGCCTTACCATCTCACATAGCTGTTTACTAAGGAGAACTGCAGTCACTTGATGTCACTCTTAATTTTCCTCTGAAGTGGGTCAAGAAGATTGCTCTAATTTTAAGTAAATGTCACTAATTGACAGACATTTCACAAAGATTTACAAAGTAAAGTTTGCATTTTAAAGTTTAAATATTAAATTCCAGTTCAGTCTTCCCAAGGGAAAAGTCCAGGCAGAAGATCTGTATGAGTCTAATAATCACACAGATCTTTGTCCTTTTAATCAGATCATGGGGAAAATGCATCCATCCTGCAGGTATGTAGCATCTGAACATGTTATCATTTACAACTTATGAAATCTGTGTACATAATCATAAAGATGCATGCGACTTTCACTATCCCTTTGTTCAAATGTGGTAGTTAATACCTCACAAGCCTATTTTTAAAATTAAGTGAGATATGTGTAAGCCATTCCAACACTCTCTGGTACAGAGTAAGTGACTGGCAATGGTAGCTAATGTGGTTACAGTTCAGAAGATACATAGTAGTAAGAAATATTTCTTGGTGAGAAATTTCACATATCTTTCACTTGGAATAAACTTAAAAATAATAGTTAAGATTAGGGCCCTAATTATGTGCTATAGGTAGTAAAGAACACTGCATAAGCATTACCACATTTTACAGTTGAACAATTAGAGGCACAGAAAGGTTAAGTACCTTATTCACAATCCCACAGATGATAAGTAGCAGAACCAGAATTCGAATCAAGAAAAGCTGACCTAAGAGCCCACACTGTGTTTCTGCAAAGGGCCAAACAGTAAATACTTTAGGTCTGTAGGCCATATGCTCTCTATTATAACTACTCAACTCTATTACTAGAGTGTGAAAGCAGCTATGAACAATATGTAAACAAATAGGCTTGAATGTGTACCAGTAAAATTTTATTTACAAAACAGGTAGCAGCCCTGATTTGACTCATGGATCATAGTTTGCTGATATGTACCCTAAATCAGCAGCTCTCAAGGTTTTGAAATATCATTAAACATCTTCCACAGAATAAGAGGGAGTCAATTATTTAAAGAATTCCAGACTCTCCTAAAGATTTATACTCCTTTACTGCCTGACTTATACCAATTGGGCCATCTCCTTTTTGGTTCTAGAAATGCCAGAACATGAATTGAAAAGACCATCAAGAAGATTGGAAACAGCTAATAAGTAAAATTTACCTTGGCCCAGAGTGTAACAATAGTGTTCTTGGTGGCCATCCCTCAAACTTTCTTGCCACAGTTGAATGAACATTGATTCAACTGTATGAATACAAAAAAGATGGATCACTTTCAGAATTTAGGAATTATCTAACTATTAGAGTCATGTGTCAGACCTGAAACTTTCACACCAAGTGCTCTGTTTCACATATTTGTAGCTGGGTTAAAACAGAAGTAGCTTTGTTGGAAAACGAAAGAGAAAATATAATGGTAAATCCCTATCCTTCAGGAGCTACAGCTCTTAGCTGAGCTTTTATAAGAGATTCTATAATAAAAAAGAGATACAATCCAGAGCAGACACTTGACAATTTAAAGGCCTAAGAGATAATTCCCATTGCCAGGGACATTAGGTGTTGAAAACTAATGAGTACTAAAAAAAATGAAATGAAATTAAATAACTGCCCAGCTCTGGCCGGTGGAAAGGAGCAACCAACATTAAGCGATGTTCATTCATCTTTGTCCAATGCTACTCTTCAAATATCAACTTATTTTGTAAATATAAAGGCTACCACATCAAATACACTTTCCATAAATTTCCTATTATATCTTCATCTGAGTAAAAATATGTTTCCATGGTGGATATTTTTAAACCTTTCAAGATCTACCTGCCTCCCAACCCTTAACTATCTCACTGCAGATCTTGACATGCTATGTTCTCAGTAATTCGGTATCTAGAATCTGTTAAGGACATATTTACTGTGAAAATGGAATCCTATAATTGGATGTAGTTTTGATGGCCTATGTTTTAGATTTTCTAGAGAAGCAAACTTAGTTACCTTCTCCTTATTTTTATTTCAATCCCATTGGCAGAATGTTTCACCATGTTCAAGGTAAAACTTAGGGATCCATAAAAGCCCATGGGCTCAAAGCTGTGACAGATATTTGATCTGTAGCTCTGGGTAAACTACCTCTGTACCATATCCATAGGGAAATAAAATATGTTCATTTTCTATTTTTGCATAAAACATTAACAAAGTTAATAGTTTAAACAGAACTCATTTATTATCTCATATTTTGCAAGTCGAAAGTTTAGATATTTTCAGCAGAGCCTCTGTTTGGGGCTAACAAGTTCGTAATTATGGTGTTGGATAAACTGGACACTCATGGAGGTTATGGGAAATAATCTTCTCCCTAAAACATTCCCTTTATTGGCTGAATTCAGTTACTTGCAATTTTAGGGCAGAGATCCCCGTTTACTTGCTAGCTGTCAGCTGGGATCTGCTCTGAGGGCTTAGAGATTTCTTGAAGTTCCTGGTCACAGGCTTTCTTCATCTCAGCAATGGAAAACTGCCTCGTGTTGAATCCTTCTCATGCTTCAAATCTCTTTGACTTTCTCTCCTGCTCCTAACTAGAGAGAGCGCTTCAATTTCAAAGAACTCATGTGTTTGAATTGGCAAATCCAAGCAATCATCCCTTTTGCCATGTAATTTGAAATAATGACAGGAATGACATTGCGTCATATTGTATAAGGTTCTGCCTATATTCAAAGAAGAGGGGATTACACAAGGGTGAGAGTGATTCAGTGTTATTCTTAGAATCCTGCTTGGAGCACCCACGAAGGCCTTCATTCTAAAACAGGAAGAAAACTATGGACTGTGGGCCAAATCCAGTCAGATGCCTGTTCCTGTAAATAAAGTTTTACTGGAATAGAGCTATACCCATTTTTTTGGATATTGTCATGTCTGCTTTCGTGCTATAACAGCAGAGTTGATGAATTGCAACAGACTATGCTCCACAAAGCCTAAAACATTTACTATCTTGCCTTTTATTTAAAAAATGTTTGCCAACCTGTGGCCTAGACTGTTAATGTCTAATTTAGTGGGGTTAATTATCCATGTCATATGTTTTGCTTGCTAACAACAATAGTTAATAGCCAAGGATATTGCCTAGTTCACTATCGCTAGGAAATTAACTAAATTGTCAACCCTCACTTTCTTATCGTTTCATATCCCCATACTGATATTTTCCCCTTTCACATGAAGCTATTTATTTTGCTGTGGTTGACTTAAGCTCAGCCTTGTTTGGAAACCCTGTTTACCCTGATAGCCAATATAAGTTTGCACTCAAATGAGAGAATCATTAGTTATGTCCAAAGACTTCACTTAAACTCCCTCATATTTCCCACAAATATTAAACTAATATCTAAAGAATAAGTCCTGGGCATTTAACCATTACCCAGTATGTTGATGTTTTACTCTTGTATCCAGTTGCTGAAACTAGTCCCTGGGATGGCTCCCTGTTTATACATTAGAAAGCACGTCAGAGCATTAGTAATTGTTACCAGGCTTATGACATAGCAAGAAAGATATATGCCCCACATATAGGTAATACTCTATTTGTATTTGACACATTAAAATTATAGAAGAACCAAATAATGAATCTGAAATTAGTTTAGACAAACTGACCATTCAAAAACACTGTGGGATTGAAGCCTTTTGCCCCAGTGCACTCATAATGACTGATTTTAAAGAGGTTTGATTTGTTAGTTAAGTACTCCATGCTATTGTTAAAAGAATATCAACCAGACGGATGGTGTCACAGAAATCATAAATATATACTTCAAGAAGTAGTCAAAAAGACGTCAAGTTATAGTACATAAAAGGAGCAGTAGGCCGGGCGCAGTGGCTCACGCTTGTAATCACAGCACTTTGGGAGGCTGAGTCGGGTGGATCTCCTGTGGTCAGGAGTTTGAGACTAGCCTGGCCAACATTGTGAAACCCCATTTCTACTAAAATACAAAATTAGCCAGGTGTGGTGGTGCGTGCCTGTAATCCCAGCTACGCAGGAGGCTGAAACAGGAGAATCGCTTGAACACGGGAGGCGGAGGTTGCAGTGAGCCCAGATTGCGCCATTTAACTCCAACCTGGGCAACAAGAGTGAAACTCTGTCTCAAAAAAAAAAAAAAGAGAAAAAAGCAGCAGTAGATACTGTTTAAGCCTGCAGATATGGCACCTGTGCAGTCCTCAGCATCTCTGTTCTAGAAATTTGTCCTGGATTTTTAACATCACCAAATGATCTGGAAAAGTAGTGAAAAATTTAGAAAATTTTAATGCTACTTGAAAAACTTACCTTAGAAAGGAAGTTAAAAACCTTCTGTCAGGGGTTGGGATAATTTCTCGTGACTAAATCTTAGAATTATCAGAATATGGTTAAGGGAAATTGTACAAGGACTATGAATAATTATTTGTTTGTTTGTCTCCTCATTCCCGTCATCGGAGCCCAGAGTCTTGAATACTGTTTGTATGCTGACTTGACAGACCACTTAGCAAATAATTCTGCCACTTAAAGTGTCCAAAACAACACTGCCATAACCTAGTCAGAGACTACAGACACCATGATTTGTAAAAGATTTTGAATAAGGTAGGCCTGGGCATGGGAATAATAAAGGAAAGATTTCCTTTTGCCAAGTAGGAAAGAGTGCAAAAGGTTTTTGATTTTTTCAATACCTAAGTGCCTTGGGATTGCTTTTTGCAATCTTTGCATGTAAAAGAATTACAAGTCTTAAGCCCAAACTCCCCACCTTTCTTCCTAAATCTAAAAAGCAGAATATGCTTTCTCAGACTTGCTTACCCTTAGGCCATATTATTCTGAAAACTGAGAATGCTTACTTAATTTTAGCAGAACATCTGCCTTATATCTCTCATCACATTCCTATTTTTATACCCTTTTATTGAAACCAACATATAAAATCTCTGCCAACTGCCACAAGCACAGCAGCCTCACTTTCATATTGACCTTCCTGTTACAGAAGCAGAAAACAAAACAAAAAAAGTTTTATTCTCTTACATCTTTGTTTGGTGGTTGTATTTAGGATTCTAGGAACTTCTCTTGGACCCTTTCTCTTTTTAGCAAATGCCTGCAGATTCTTGAAGTGACTGCCCTAAAACTAGCCCCTCTGTGCAGTATTTTCTCAAACTTGTATGACGTTCAAAACTTCATCCTCATACTTACTATAGTATTACACGCTGCTTCTATATTTTTCTCGCTAGATCATAGGCTCAACAAGTAAAGGGAAAGTATCTTATTAGTTTTTATTTTTCTGTGACCTACTACAGTGCCTGGCATAAAGTTGACTTTTAATAAACATAGTATGACAATAGTAGGTGAAGGAATGGGGTTTTGAGTCAGTCTGACCTGGGTCCCAGCCCTGGCTTCAAATATGTAAGATGTAAAATCATGACCAGGTTTCTTAATCCCTGTAAGCCTCAGTTTTATCAACTGTAAAATGGAGGAAATAGTTGCACCAACCTCAGTAATGGCATTGTTAATAAATGAATTGGTGCACAGAGGGGAATTAGCACCGTGCCTTACATGTGGTAAATACTCAATGCATGTTAACTATTAATAACATTTAATAAAAGTAAAAAAGTGAATTACAGTTTAGCAAATTATCTGCAGTCTATTTCCAAATCAGTTTATGTTCAAACTGTAACACTTTTGTCTTGTCTGGATTAATCCTATGTGGAGGCATAAAACGTTGTCATCCCATATGGCTTGAATACTTCTTTATGATGCATAAGTGGTAGTACTAATATTTCTGAATTTTAATGATATGCAGTAAAACTGTAAAACCATAATGCTGCACAAGCACAGTGATCAAAGCTTTCAGTGGAGTTTAATTTTGTTCTATGCATATGTACTTTCTATTTTAATTCCTTAAAGTCATATGTTTTTCAATCCATTCTTTTGATCCGGTCTTCCAAAATAGTAAGTTCTGTCAATCTCTCTCCAACTTCTCCCTCCCTCTCTTTCCCCTCCACCCCGTTTTCTCCAATGATATAATATGTTGTTGTATTCAATTTAATTTATACATTGATGAGTAAAATCATGTTTATAATATAAAACTGCATAAGAGAAACTTTGCATATATTAGGAAAAGTGGAAGAAGATTAATCTCCTGGTGCTTTCTGACCTCTCCCTGCCAAGGAAGAGTGTCTGGATATATGAGCAGAGAAACTCAGAGGTAACTCGATGCATTGCACACAAAAGGTGAACATCAGGATCCATTTCCAAAGGCTGCGGATTCTACAGCTTGCCTCTCCTCCAGTGGTTAAAGGTGAACAGTCACCTGGTGTCATTATTATTATATGTGTATTTGATGATTCCTTTGGCCATTTCAATTCTCTTGGAGTGTGAAGAGCAATTGTTATTGAATTTTAAGCCCCATGGCAATAGATTTTAGTTTCAGCCATGCATGGAAATATGTGTTAAGCATATTACAAGCTCATAGATGTATATCCTAGATTATATGAAGACAAGGTGAAATATAAGCCTTGCCACTGTGGTCCCAAGACTGTCTTAAGTGCTTATAATATGAGGGCAGAAGATTTATTACAGTTTGGGGTAATAATCTGTTATGGATCATTGTTGATCATTACGATTCTGAAGTGAAAAATGTATATTGCAATTTAAAAGATTTGTTTCCCCTTATATCTCATTTGTAACTCTCCTATTTGTGTTATAGAATTTCAATATATATTTATGATATATGCTTCTACGGATACACTGCAACACTGGAATGGCACTTTTGGATAAAGTTTTCTTGTTTCCCCATTAATGAGAGTTTTAAAATATTTATGAGGAGCAATGCATGTAATATACTATTTTAAGGGTACACCAGCTGTTCTTCACACTGGGTGCTTATAAATACATACATATTTTTAGTCCATATTCAAACACATTATTATGTCTGTTAAAAATTAAGATAATGTGGAAAGTTGCTTTAGAACAGAAAGTGTTATACTGGGTGTGATCTTGTGTTTAATATGTAACATTTAGTGTTCCCTAATATTTACTCTTATGGTATTCTACATTAAATAAGCAAGAGTTGCAAATGCTAAGATTACTTGTTGTTTGATGGCTATGTTGCCTACTCATACTTTATATATAATATTATAGAGGTTTATGTTTGCAAAATGTTTTCACAAACCTCATATAATCCCCATGATGACCTGAGAAGTAGTCGGTCAGGTATACCTGTAGCAAGCGGCTGAATGAATACTAACGATTTCTGCTCTACCTCCCCCAACAAAGTCTTCAAGTCTTTTAATTCCTATTCTAGGATTTCTTGAATTGCAGTAAGCTGTACTTAGTGCTATGTATTACCCTAAAAACCTTAACATATATTTAATATAGATATAAATTGTATATAATTATATAAATATATAAAGGTTTTCCATAAATACAAAAATGTAAACATAAATAGAGAGTCCCATACATTTATATCTACAAACAAGATAAATTCATAAATTAAGGTAACTTTTAACCGGAGAAGTTACATCTAAATCTTATAAATTATGTATACGATCTGAGTTCAGGAAACTACAAATCACTGATGAAAGAAATCAAAGATCTATACATAGAGAGAGTTACTCCATAGATGAACATGAGGAATGTTCATGGGTTGGAACACTAAATATTGTAAAGAGGCCAATTATTTTACATTTGATCTAAAAATTCAATGCAATCCCAACCAAAATTCTAGAAAGCTATATATAGCTTTCTATATAACAGTAGATTTTGGCAAACAGGTGTGAGATAAGACATTGCAAATAAAAATTTTTTAAAAATGAGTGGTTAGTGCTTACTTGGGCAGTATATTTTGTCATAACTCATTCATCCACTTAAACACTTCTTGAATGTCTTTCTATGCCAGGCACTCTACTATGCACTGGGAAATAGTCACCAATAAAGCAGAGACACATGCTTTGCTTATATGGAGCACACTTTTAAAAATATTTTTAAATGTTTTATTTTTTTTTAAGATGGAGTCCTGCTCTGCCACCCAGGCTGGAGTGAGGTGGCACAATCTCAGCTCACAGCAACCTCTACCTCCCAGTTCAAGTGATTCTCCTGCCTCAGCCTCCCATGTAACTGGGATTACAGGTGCCCACCGCCACACCTGGCTGATTTTTGTATTTTTAGTAGAGACAGGGTTTCACCAAGTTGGCCAGGCTAGTTTCGAACTCCTGACCTCAGGTGATCCGCCCATTTTGGCCTCCCAAAGTTTTGGGATTACAGGCGTGAGCCACAGAGCCCCGCCTATGGAGCATACATTTTTGGTGGCAGAGTGGAACAAATAATAATTAAGTAAATAAGCAAATAATTTTGGAAAATGATAAATGCTTTAGAGAACAACAAAGCAGAGATGGGTGATAAGAATTTGGGAATTTCTATTTTATTTATTTTTAAATTTTTAAATTTTCAATTTTTGTGGGTACATAGTAGGTGTCTGTATTTATGGAGCATATAAGATATTTTGGTACAGCATGCAATGCATAATAATTACATCATGGAAAATTGGGTATTCATCTCCTCAAGGATTTATTCTTTATGTTACCAACAATCCAATTATACTCTTAGTTATTGTAAAATGTGCAAGTAAATAGTTATTGACTATAGTAGGGGCTTCAACTTTAAATAAGATTATCAGGGAAGGCCTCACTGAAAAGGTAGAATTTGTTTAAAGACATGAATGAGGTAAGGAAATGAGCCCTGTGGATATCAGGAGGCAAATAAGTCAAGCAGAGGAAAGAGAAGGTGCAAAGTCCTTGAGGCTGGAGGGCGGATGGTGTGTTTGAGAAATAATGCGGCTAAAGTGGAGAAATAAATTGGGATAGAGCATTAGATGACATCAGAAAGATGACAGTTGTAATGATATGGGAGGGGCAAATCACAAAAAGTTTTGGTTTTACTATTTGTAGGATAAAAAGGGCTATAAGCAGACAAGTAGAAGGGAATGAATTGAAGCAAAAAGACCAGTGGCAAAGCGATTGTAATAACCCAAGCAAGAGATGATGGTGTCATAAATGAGGATGTGGCAGTGGAGGTACTGGAAATGGTCAGATATAGTGTACATTTTGACTGCAGAGTCAATATGATTTTCTGATGAATTGGACGTGGTGTGTGGGAGAAAGGATGATTTTCAAATTATGGGACTCTGTACCTGAAAGAGTGGAATTCTCATTAGTTAAGGTTTAGAAGTCTGTAGGTAGAACAGATGGGGGTGGGTTGGAGGTAGATCAGGAGTTGAGTTTTGGACATGCTAAGTTGATGGTGTCTCTTATATACCCAGGTGGAGATTTTTAATAGACAGATGTGTGAATCTGCATTCAGGCAAGTAGACTGAGCTGGAAATAAGGCTTTAGGAATTTTTAGCTTCAGATGAAATTTAAAGTCAGAAGATTGAATGAGATCCTCTCAAGAGCAAGTACAGATAGATAGGAAAAGAGGTGTAAGAACTAACTCCAGCTTCAAGAGGTGAGGAATATGATGAGACAATACAAGAAAGACTAAGTGAATGAATAAGTAGGTGAAGTATGGAAACCAAATCAGTGTTTCAAAGTGGAGGGAGTAGCCAGCTGTGTGAAGTGTAAGGTCAATCAAGAGAAAAATCTAAATTTGACATTAACAATAGTGAAAGTCTTTATAATACCTTCTTTTGTGGTTGTACTGTCAAAGCAATAACAGAGCTGGATAGTAGTTAAAATGGTACAAACAGATTTTATTTAGGACTACTGCAGCAGAGGAAAGGGACCTCAGCATAGAACTGGACTCAATTCTGATACAGGATGGGCAAGTGAGAATCTACAGCCAAGGAACACAGTGGGTATCAGTGCGTGGAAAATTACTAAGAGGAAACATTGGGATTCTGGCTAATCCTGACCTAGCAGGATTGTTACTGAAAACAGGACAGGATGATCAGACATTACTTGGGAGATTGTGGAGAATAAGGAACCTGATCAGATATCCAGGGTGGGGAATTCTTGCTAAACTAACTCAGCAGGATTCTCTGTGAAACAGGATTTTTAAGGAAGTACACAGATGGTCCTAGGAGAAGATTCAGGAGCCTGACTGAAGTTTGATCAAGCAAAGATTTATTTGTCAGTACATTACATTGCAGTTCATTACAATAGTGTTCTTCTCACTTTCAGCACCCTGGGCTGTTCAAGCCTTGAGGTAGTTATAACTGCTCATATATCCATCACAGATTTTATGTGTGCACCAGTTCATTACAGTACATTACAGTTCACAAGTCATTTTAAAACAACTTTTCCCTATTTTATTTTCACAGCAATCCTACACAAAAGATATTCTGAACTTTGTATGCTTTAGCTGAAGAAACTGACAGTAAAGTAAAATTATTCAAACATTTTTCTGCTCTCGAATGGCATAGCCTAGGCTTAAACAATTTTACATGATTTTAAATCTAGTGAGATAACATCTTTTCTAAGATATTTTGTGCCACTTGGTTGGTACTCAATAAATTATTCTTTTTTTCTATTTCTCTTTTTCTTTTAAAGATTATCATCCTTCTAGCAATATCTATACCAAATGGTGTTAAAACATAAATTATTTAAGTAATATATTCATTTTGTATTAGTCAACTTTTATATGACAGTCATTAGGCTTGGAAAAAGGAAAACAAAACTGAGTAAGATATAATCCAACCCTTTGAAAAGATCACACTGTAGTATGTGAGACAGATATTCATAATATACTGTGCTAAGGATTCTAATAGGGGTAGCTGAAAAGGACTAAGGGAACGCCAAGAATAACTAATTCAGCTTGAGTGGTTAGACTAAAGTGATACTTTGTAGGAGAAAGTCAAGATGATTGAAAGCAGAAGGATAAAATATACTGTTCTTGAACAGCACACTGGGCTGTTCAAGCCTTGAGGTAGTTATAACTGCTCACATATCCATCAAAGGTTTTATCTGCGCACCAGACACACACCAAGGTCAGGACAACAAGAAAACATCACACATCCATGCAAGCATTAACTTTGATGGATGACTTAATTATCTTGGTTCCCTGATGAATAAATAGTGTAACCATTCCCAGAAGATATTTTTTAGTCTCCTAGTTGACAATGACTTAGTTAAGTGGGACATTAAAACCATGATCTGATAAGATAAAAACATTTCAAAAACTACAGAGCTTTTGTGGTTTGCCCTTAGCTAGTTATACTGTGGACTTGACAATGTACTAGTGACATAACAAGATACCCAGCTTATGAATGGATGCCACTGGTATCTGTTTTGGTGTGCTTTGAAAGAAAGACATATTTGTCATCTGCTACAGCACATGTTTTGTTAGACAAGTTCAGCCAAGAGGACTAAATAATTGAATGCCTCCTTTAAAATATACACACATAAATACACACATCATATGCAAACACACATGATTGTAATGAATAGGTAGAGGAAAGCAAAGAAAAACTGTCAGACTGGTTTATCTAAAAATTTTCAAAATAGAGAAATGCCAGTAACCTTTCAATAACAGAGCAAATACATTATATAGAGATTCATAAATGCTTCTGCAGTGACTCAGGGAAGAATATGTATTTGGTATCTCTAGGAAATAGTTTCATATTCAATTTAAATCACAACTTGTGAGATATTTCCACAGCTGCAATAACTACCCGTGGATTTTCTTTACTTTTTGTATGGAGCATAAGTGGTGATAGAGCTGTGAAATTTCCAAACAAGTATATTTATTTCCAAGAACAGGCTTAGAAAGAATTATTCTGTTGTGAACCTAGAGCTTATAATGAATATTCAGAATTGGTAGGGTCAACAAATTTAGAAAAGCTCATTTTCAAAGTATACTTAACTCCAAATAGTCTCCCTCAAGTTCACTCTAACCTTTCATGAATTTGGGAAGCCTCACTTCAACTGAGCCCTGGCCATCAGCCCGAATGTCAGTACCTGAATTGAACTCACTAATGTAGCTTCATATTGTCTCCCCTGATCACATGTAAATTTTGGCTTTACTATAAATCCTAATCCCATTTTACCTTCACTTGCTTTTCTTTTTCTTAGCCTTTCTCTTTTCTTTGTAAGCATCATAATCCTGTAGACAAACTGGCCAAGTTCAAATCTTTGCTAAGGAACCTATTAGCTCTAATTTTTAGTACCCTGTTTAAATCCCAGGGCCTCAGTTTTCTCATCTGAAAAATGGGTTTAATAATAGTGTCTCTTTTACAAACTTCTTGAAAATATTAAGACAAAATAATAATTAATCTATGTAAACTATTTAGCAAAGTAAGTTGTACATAACCACCAATAGTTATTTTTAGTAGAGTTTATCTTTACTCTCAATACTGTTGTCTTCATTAATTTTTTTTATCTCCTCTGATATATTCTGCCATATAATATACAGTGTTCTCTAGGCTCATGCTTTAAGAAATTAGACATGATTTCAAGAAATATTCATTTCAAAGTACAGATTTGCAAAAAGTAGTAAGAAATAACATAGCTGAAATTTCATTACCCAGAGATAATCACGATTAAAAAGATGGTATGTTTTTGCAGATTTTTTCCCAATGCAATTTTATAAATAAAAGTACAAATAAAGTATAAAATACATATATTAATAATAATGAAGGATAAAAACCATATGACTCAATAGATGCAGGAAAAGCATTTGACAAAATTCAAATTGTTGACAAAATTTTTATCCATTTACGATAAAACTTTTCAACAAATTAGATATACAAGAATTTTTTTGCAATAAAGGCCTGTATTTCAAGCCCACAGCTAACATCATACTCAATGATAAAACATTGAAAGCTTTTCCTTTAGAATGAGACACAACAGGAGGATACCTATTCTTGTCACTTCTATTCAACATAGTACTAGAAGTCCTAGACAGAGCAGTAGCAAGAAAAAGAAAAGAAAGGCATAGAAATTGGAAGAAAAAGGAAGTTAGATGGTCTCTATTTCTGTTTTATGTATATTTATTTTTCATTCTCTGTGTTTGTGTGTGTGTGTGTGTGTAAGGCACTCTGCTTGCCTGACACTACAAGGCATATAAAGACATTTGCAACATAATTCCTGCTTCTTCAAGGCACTTGCATTCTAGCATAAGGATGAAACAAGCATAGCAATAACTATACTCAGAGTAAAAATATAATATGTGTCTTAGAAGTATAGAAATTGGCCGGGCGCGGTAGCTCACGCCTGTAATCCCAGCACTTTGGGAGGCCGAGGCGGGCGGATCACGAGGTCAGAAGATCAAGACTATCTTGGCTAACACGGTGAAACCCCGTCTCTACTAAAAATACAAAAAATTAGCTGGGCGTGGTGGCGGGCACCTGTAGTCCCAGCACTTTGGGAGGCCAAGGTGGGAGGATCACGAGATCAGGAGACTGAGACCATCCTGGCTCACACGGTGAAACCCCGTCTCTACTAAAAATACAAAAAATTTAGCCGGGCATGGTGGTGGCGCCTGTAGTCCCAGCTACTCTGGAGGCTGAGGCAGGAGAATGGCGTGACTGCGGGAGGCGGAGCTTGCAGTGAACCGAGATCGCGCCACCGCACTCCAGCCTGGGGGACAGAGCAAGAGTCCATCTCAAAAAAAAAAAAAAAAAAAAAAGTATAAAAATCATGTGGTAATTTAAAGGAGGAAAAATTCACCTATGTTTGGAAGGAAGTTAGACAGGGAGGGTTTGAAGAAGGTGACATTTGAGATGGTTTTTAAGAGGTCAAAACTGGAAATGGCAGTAGCTTCTAGGAAAAGGGAATAGCAGTGAAAATCCTTTTCAAAGGTGAGATGAATGTTCTACAACGGTGAGTAGTTCAATTTGATCAGAATGTAAACATCCTGTAGGGAAGGCAGAAAACAGGAAAATTGAAAGGGAACCTGGGACCAGGTGCCTTAGGGCCTGGGCTGAAGAGTTTGCAGGTAGTACAGAATCATTAACAGTGTTCCTGGAAATAATAAATGGCTCTTATAAACAGTGCTTCAGTGGACATTATCTTCTGCACCACTGTACTTTTGCCTAATTAAACCCTCAGGATAACCTTCTAAATATTTAATTCCTGAAAGTTTTTGAGGACTTTGATACATGTTGCCAAGCTGCATGAAAATGCCTATTTTTCAAGGGGCTCACCAGCAGTAGGTGCTATTCTTTTAATCTTTGTCTGTCTTATGAAGGGTAACCAATATGTTACTTTGTTTTTATTTTCATTCCCTTAAATACTAGTGAAATTTAATAAATTAGCTCAGATTTAATCTCTTTTCTTTCTGAAATTCCTAATCATGTTCTTAACCCCTGTATTATTTTCTTTTGCTGCTATAACCAATTACCACGGACTTAGTGATTTAAACATTAAAATTTGTTTTATAATTCAGTATGTCAAAAGACCCACACAGGTCTCAATGGGGTGATACCAAGATGTTAGTAAGGCTTCCTTCCTTTCTGAAAGCTTCAAGGGAGAATACATTTTACCATTTTAAGCTTCTATTGGTTGACAGCATTCCTTAACTTGTGTCTTTCTCCCTCTTCAAAACCAGCAGCAGTGGGTCAAGTCCTAATGTCATATCTCTCTGAAGACCCACTCTTCTGCCTTCCTCGTTCAGTTTTAAGGGCTCATATGGTTATATTGGACCCACCTAGATAATCTGGGATTATCTAGGTTCATACCCTTAATTGCATCTGCAAAGTCCTTTTTGGCATGTAAAGATATTGTGCGATGAGCATAGCCACAGATTCTGGGGTTATGGCATGGACATCTTTGGGGGGCCCACTATTCTGCCTATCACAACCCATTTTTGTTTTAATGGGAGTTTCATTTTTCTAAGTATACATGTAGTAACTCTCTATATTGTTTTTCATATGAGCAAATCTCTTTGTTTCTTCTCTGCCACTGACCAAAAATCACTGTTTTATTAGCTGAGGAACATCATGGCATGGAGTCTAAGCGTGATGATCATATAGCCAGGTATCCTAAACTCAACTCCCAGCTCCAAGTCTCATGAACTGTGATGCATTGGATGACTGTCACAGTTCACAAAACTGAAATTTTCTCAATTTTAAAATGAGGATATTAATTATAGTACCTACACCATATGATTTTTAACAATCCATGCCAAATACTTGGCATGTTCTAAGTAGTCAATAATATTTGATACCATTAAGAATATTTATTCAATGTATAGAAATATATTTGTGTGGCCATGAAGTGTCATGGATCATTCACAGTAACTAAGATACACCATTGAACAAAATATGGAAAAGTACTATTTCTATTTCTAAGCTTACATTCTAGTTATTGGTGTGGGAGAGAGAATAATTAATAAACATTTTAAAAATGAGTTATACAATATTATGGGCTGAATTGTGTCTTCCCCAAAACCCACATGTTGAAGAACTAGCCCCCAGACCCTCATGATGTAACCATATTTGGATACAGGGTCTTTAAAGAGTTAATCAAATTAGAATGATGTTATCAGGGTGAAACCTAATACAATATGATCGGTGTCTTTCTAAGAAAAGAACATTTGGACACAGACACACACATACAAAGGCAAGATGAAGTGAAAGCACGTGGTAAAGACAATCATTTACAAGTCAAAGAGAGGCCTGGAACAGAAAAAAGCCCTCAGGGGAAAAAAGCAAATCTGTGGACACTTTGACATTGGGATTTTAGCCTCTGGAACTGTGAGAAAATAGGTTTCTGTTATTGAAGGCATCCAGGCTGCAGTACTTTGTTACAGCAGCTATAGTATATGATATATGTGGTACATTAGAAATTGATAAATGCTATGGAAAAAATAAAACTACGTAAGGAGGTTGTAATGCCACTACAGAGGACTTTCAACAGCACATCACTAGTGGGCGTGGCCAATAACTGTTATTATTCCCTACTATTTTCCTTACCTAATTAGTAGTAGGTATTTATTATGCACACAGTTTCTAACTCATGATGTCTGTTTTTAAACATTTGCTTGTAAGGGGACAGTTTGGAATACAGAATCAATGGACACTTTATATTTCAATGACTTAACATTCCCTCAACAATCAACAGCATAATTGACCAAATTTGTTTTCCTAATTTCATATCAACACCTGTGGAGCTCCTAATGGCTAGTTTATTAATAATAAACACCACCCTGTGGTTAAGATAAAACATCTGGCTCTTTATCCCATATTTATCAATAATTTTTGTCAGTGTTGTGATGAATACAAATGATCCTGAGTTCCAGTTTTCTTCTATGGTAATTTATATCAGGTGTCCATGACAAGCATTGTTCCAATATTTCCTAATTTACAAATGCCTGTTTTTCTTTTTGTTTGCTTATAAGGTAACTGTTTGAAATAAAAAAAAATAGATTTTCACTTGGAAACAAAATTCTATATATTAGATTTTCACTTGGAAACAAAATTCTATATATTAAATTTTCAGGATAGTTTGAGAAAATATTTACTCATTTGAAGCCTGATTTTTTTTTTTTTTTTTTTTGAGAAAGGGTCCTGGTTTGTCACCTAGGCTGGAGTGCAGTGGTGTGGTCATGGCTCACTGCAGCCTTGAACTCCTGGGCTCAAGCTATCCTCTTGCCTCAGCCTCCCAAGTAGCTAGGACTGCAGGCATGTACCACCACACCTCGCTAAATTTTTATTTTTTGTAGAGACAGGGTCTTGTTACATTGCCCAGGCTGGTGTTGAACCCCTGGCCAAGTGATCCTCCCATCTTGGCCTCCCAAAGTGCTGGGATTCTGGCATGAACCAATGAGCCCAGCTTCTAATTTTTACTGATAATATTACTATAAAAACACTTATTCTGAATCTTTTTGAGGATTAATTGGAACCTGTTTGTGGACAAACTTTGTAAAAAGAAATATGCATGTAATTATCCTAAATTCTATCAGCAAGACATCTGGTGTATGTGCTATAGAAGACAATGTTTTCCTAACTTTTCCTTTTTGGGTAGCTCAAAATGAAGGAAGGAAAGTCTTAGAATCTTTGGGTTGGATGGGATCAATTACTACAAAGACATTTTAATTCTCTTCCTAACAGTTTCTATGAGTGTTCATCTGTGATAACCAGTTGCTGAAGAATCATAATACACTTTCCAACCCCTTATTTAGAAAATTTAATAACAAGGAACATTGTTTATTCTAAGGTAGCTCATTCCATTTATAGACAGCTCTTTTTATTTCCTTGTAAATTTTTTTTTATTGTTTGTTTTTCTATTAAACTTAAATTTTTAGAAAAGTTTTAGATTTATAGAAAAGTTGAGATAATATGTAGGGTTCTCATAAATCCTTGGCAAAGACTATCTCTTTGACCAGACTTTAGTTAGATCCATCTAAGCCCTCTTCTTGACCAAACCTTGACCTTCAGCCTCTGTGCCCATCTTTGCTGAGTCCAGTTTTGCTGAAAATTTATATAAACCTGTTTTAATACATTTGTTTATATCAGCATGGACTAATGATTTTTTTTTCTATTTTGGGTTATGATCCAGTAATACTTTATTAGATTGCTCACATTGCTTCAGCTTTGACTACTGGGAGTTCTTTCATCAATGTTCTTTCTTTATTTCCTTCCTGCCTCCCTTCCTTCCTTCTCTCCGTTCTTTATTCCCATCCCCTCTCCTCTCGTTTCCTTTCTTTTCACACTCCCTTGCTTTCTGGCACTACGAGGTTCTCCAAGCTCATCTTGTGTATAAGCTTTGTCGGTATGAGAATCAACCATTTCTCCAGAATGCACTGATTCCTTTGATTAGAGAATGGCATTACAAACCAGAATTTTAGTACTAGTTTTGCTTGTTGCTACTGATGTGTCATTTATTTGAGACTATCTTAGCTAACAGAGCCCAGAAATATATGTGTGTATACTGAACACTTGTACATACATACACATACAAATATTCTATATGTAACCATTTACCTTTATTAAACTAAACGGCATTAAACTGATTAGTATTAAACCAATCAGTATTTATATATTGATTCCTGCAACTCCAATCCACCACTACTTAGATCTCCTTGCTTATCTGTAAATTCCCACTCTAATAGTGAGAAAACTGGCCTCCATCATACAAAACCATTTACTTAATTGTTCACTTCCAGTATACTTGCAGAGTAGTATCCAAATTGTTAACTTGCAACCCTAGGAAACAACTTTATCAAATAGATTACAGTGCTTATGTGCAGCTGCTTTTGTCTTTAGTCTTATAGACTCCACTCATCTCCAAACTTACTTAGGTCAGTACTTTTTCCCTGCTTTGCCTTCAGTAAAATTGTTTCAGAAATATGCAATATCAGTAGATTATTTCATCACATTCTGCATTACCCTTAACCTTCTAAATAATTTCTTTTAAAAACTTCATAAAGTCTTCTCTTTGTGCTGTAAAGTTCTATGGGTTTTGACAAATGTGTGATATTATGTTCTTACTGGTATATAGGCTTACTGCACTAAAAATTTTCTGTGCTTTACCTATTCCTCTTTCCTACAGTTGACCCCTAGAAATCATTGATCATTTTATAGTCTCTGTAGTTTGCCTTTTCTAGAAAGTGAAATAATTGGAGTAATAGAGAATGTAGCCTTTTAAGACTGGCTTCTTTTACTTAACAATATTAATTTAATATTTATTCATATTTTTGCCTGGCTTGATGGCTCATTCATTTTATTGTTGAATAGTATTTTATTGTATGAATGAACTTTACTTTATCCATTAATCTATTAAAGTCTAATGACGATAATCTCCAGTTTTTGGCTACTATGAATAAGGTTTCGGTAAAAATCTGTGTATAGGTTTTTGTGTGGACAGAAGTTTACAAACCATTTGATAAATCCCTAGAAGCACAATTGGTGGATAATAAGACTATTTTTGTAAGAAACTGCCAAACCATCTTCAAAGTGGCTGTACCATTTTGTACTCCTAACAAGAAAAAGGGGAATTCTTTTTCCTCTGTATTCTCAACATCATTTGTCAGCTATTTGGAAATTAGCCATTTTAATAGATGTGTGAAGCTATTTCAATGTTGACTAAATTTGCAATTCTCTCATGATCAAAGATGTTGACCGAGCATCTTTACATATGCTTATTGACATCTGTTTATATTTTTTGGTGAGACATCTGTTCAAATCTTTTGACTATTTCTTAAGTGGATTTTCGTTTCCTTATTTTTCAGTGTTCTTTATATATTTTGGGTGCAAATCTTTTGTTAGATGTGTAACTTGTAAATATTTTCTCCAGCATATAGCTTTTCTTTTGATTTTCTCGTGTCTCTACTACAGCAGAAGTTTTAAATTTTAATAGTCTAATTTATCAAATTTTTTCTTTTATAGCTTGTGATTTTGCTGTTGTATATAGTGTCGGTAAATATATAATCAATTAAATTTTCTCCTACGTTTTCTTCTAGAAATTTTACACTACTGCCTTTATACTTAGGTCATTGATGAATTTTGATATAATTTTTGTGAAAGGTATAAGGTCTGTTTAGAAATTCATTTTTTGGTACATGTACAACTAAATTTTCTAGCACTATTTAGACTGATTTAATGAATTTTTGATCATAGATTTGTTCATATTATGTCTATATTATTTCCTTAATGTTGATGGTATCAGTAGCATTGACACATCTTTCCTTTCTGCTATTGATGATTTCTGTCTTCTATTTATATGAAGTTGGGTAGTTAGAGGTTTATAACTTTTATTAAACTTTTTAAAGAACCAGCTCTTGGTTTTGTGAGCCTTCTCTATTGCTTTTCTGTTTTCAATTTCACTTCTTTCTGCTTTAATTTTTATTTTTTTAAATTTTATTTGTTTTAATTTAAAATTTTTCTGTTTAGATTATTGATTTTAGTTTAGATTATTGATTTTAGATCTTTCTTCTCTCTCAATATGTGCACTTAATGCTATGAAATTCCCTGTAGGCACTGTTTTCACTGCATCTCACAAATTTTAAGTTGCATTTTCATTTAGTTGAAATATATACATGTATATATATATATATATATATTTCTATATGAACCTATTGAGATGTCTTTGACTCACAGAATTTTTAGAAATGTGTTGTTTAATTCCTCAGGTATTTGTAGATTTCCCAGCTCTCTGTACTGTTTCCAGATTAATTGTATTATGGCAAATTCTATTATGATCTGTTATGATCATACATACTTTGCATGATTTCTGTTCTTTTAAATGTGATCATACGTGTGTTATGACCTACAGTGGTCTACCTTGGTAAATGTTCCATGAGAGTGTGAGAATAATTTTTATTATGCTGTTGCTGAATGAAATATGTTTATAAATGTCAAGTAGATCAGGCTGACTGATGGTGCTATTTAGTTAGTTATATCCTTACTGATTTTCTGCCTATGTGAACTATCAATGGCTGATAAAGGGTGGTAAAGTTTTCAACTATATTTGTCTTCTTCTCTCTGTCTGTTCCTCTGTCAGTTTTATCCTCACATTTTCTATTTTGTTTTTAATTGACACAGAATAATCATACACATTTATAGGGCATGGGTAACATTTTGATACACATATACACTGGATAAAAACAAAAGCAGAGTATTTAGTATATCCATCAGCTCATATATTTATCATTTCTTTATGTGAGAATATTAAAAACCCTCTCCTCTAGCTATTTTGAAATATATAATATAATATTGTTAACCATAGTCATCCTACTGTGCAATAGAATACCAGAACTTATTTCATCTATCCAACTGTAATTGTGTACCCACTGATCAATATCTCCCAATAACCCACTTCCTGCACCCCTCCCCAGCCTCTGCTAACCACTATTATGCTTTCTAAATCTATGAGATCAATTTATTTAGATTCTACATATAATTTAGATTATGTGGTATTTGCTTTCTGTGCCTGGCTTATTTTACTTAAACAATGTCCTCCAGGTTCATCCATGTTGCTGCACGTGGCATGATTTTATTCTTTCTTATGGCTGAATAGTATTGTTAGGTATATATACCACATTTTCTTTATCCATTTATCTGTTGATGGATGCTTAGGTTGATTTCATATCTTGGCCATTGTAAATACTGCTGTAGTAAATGTGGGTGTGCAGATATCTCTTTGATATACTGATTTCCTATATTTTGGATATATATATACGTAGCAGTAGGACTGCTGGATCATAGGTAGTTCTGTTTTTAGTTTTTTGCAGAACTTTTATAATGATTATTTACATTCCCACAAGTTAGTATAAGTGTTCTCCTTTCTTTATATCTACATCAATATTTGTTATTTTTGTCTTTTTGATAATAATCATTCTAAATTGGGGTGAGGTAATATCTCATTGAAGTTTTGATTTGCATTTCCCTGACAATTAGTGATATTGAGCATTTTTTCATATACTTGAACGTTCGTATTCTTCTTTTGAGAAATGCCCTACTCACATCTTTTGCCCATTTTTTAAACTAAATTATTTATTTATTTTGCAATTGTTTGACTTCCTTATATATTCTGGATATTAAACCCTTGTCAGATGCATAGTTTAAAATATATTTTCCCATTTACAGGTTGTCTTTCAACTTTACTCATTGTTTCCTGTACTGTGCAGGAGATTTTTAGTTTGATGTAATCTCATTTGTCTATTTTTGCTTTTGTTTCCTGTGCTTTGGGGATCTTATGCAAAAGCTCCTTGTCCAGACCTACGTCATGAGCATTTCCCCTGTTTTTTTTTTTTTTTTCCTAGTAGTTTTAGCATTTCAGGTCTTACATTTAAGTGTTTTGTCTATTTTGAGTTGATTTTTGTATTTTCTGAGAGATAGGGATCTAGTTTCATTTTTCTGTATGTGGATATCAGTTTTCTTAGCATCATTTATTGAAGAGACTGTCCTTTTTGTATTTTTAGTAGAGACGGGGTTTCACTGTGTTAGCCAGGATGGTCTCGATCTCCTGACCTTGTGATCCGCTCTAAAGTTGGATTTAAAGCACTTGGCCTCCTAAAGTGCTGGGATTACAGGCGTGAGCCACCGTGCCCAGCTCATTTATACGTCTTCTTTTGAGAAACATTTATTCAGATCTTTTGGCCATTTTAAAATCAGATTATTAGATTTCTCCTATTGAGTTGTTTGAACTACTTATATATTCTGAATATTAATCCCTTGTCAAATTGATAGTTGCAAAATTGTCTCCCATTCTGTGGTTTATCTCTTCACTTTGTTGATTGTCTCCTTTGCTGTGAGGAAGGTTTTCAACTTGATGAAATCCTATTTGTCCATTTTTTGCTTTGGTTGCCTGTGCTTATGGGGTATTACTCAGGAAATCTTTCCCCAGTCCAATGTCCTGGAGAGTTTCCCCAATGTTTCTTTTAATACTTTCAGAGTTTCAGGACTTAGATCTGTCTTTAATCTATTTTGATTCAATATCTTATATGGTGATAGATAGGTATCCAGTTTCTTCTGCATATAGATATCCAATTTTCCTAGCTGTGTTTATTGAAGAAATTGCCCTTCCCCAATGTATGTTATTGGCAACTTTGTTGAAAAAGAGTTCACTCTAGATGTATGGATGTATTTCTGGGTTCTATATTCCGTTCCATTGGTCTATATATCTATTTTGTTGCCAGTATCATGCTGGTTTTTTCACTATAGCTCTGTAGTATAATTTGAAGTCAGGTGGTATGATTCCTCCAGTTTTGTTCTTCCTTCTCATGATAGCTTTGTTTATTCTAAGTCTATTGTGGTTCCATACACATTTTAGGATTATTTCTTCTATTTCTGGGAAGAATGTCATTGGTATATTGATAGGGATTGCATTAAATCTGTAGATTGCTTTGAGTAGTATGGACATTTTATCAATATTGATTCTTCCAATTTATAAACATAAAATATCTTTCCTTTTTTTCTGCCCTCTTCAATTTCTTTCATCAATTTTTTATAGTTCTCATTGTAGAGATCTTTCACTTCTCTGGGTAAGTTTATGCCTAGGTGTTTTGTTTTATTTGTAGCTACTGGAAATGCTATTACTTTCTTAATTTTTTTTTCAGATTATTTTGCTGCTGATATATAGAAAGGCTGCTGATTTTTGCACATTGATTTGGCATCCTACAACGTTGCTGAAGTTGTTTATTTGTTCTAGCAGTTTTGGGGTGGAGTCATTAGGTTTTTCTAAGTATAAGGTTGTATCATCTACAAAGAAGGATAACTTGACTTTTTCTGTTTATATTTGGATAATTTTTATTTCTTTCTTTAGTCTAATTGCTGTAGCTAGACTTGCAGTACTATGTAGATAAACATCGATGAGAGTGGAAATCCTTGTCTTGTTCCAAATCTTAGAGAAAAGGCCTTCAGTTTTTCCTCCTTCTGTATATTGCTAGCTGTGGGCCTGTCATATATGGCTATTATCGTATAGAGGTGTGTTCCTTCTATACCCAGTTTTTAAGGCTTTTTTTAAATCATGGAGGGTTATTTAATTTTATGAAATGTTTTTTCTGCATTAATTAAAATAATCACATGGTTTTTGTCATTCATTCTGTTGATATGATTTATCACATTGATTTGTGTATGTTGAATCATCCTTGCATCCCTGGAATAAATCCCATTTGGTCATGATGAAATATCTTTTTAATGTGTTGTCCAATTCACTGTGCTAGTATTTTGTTGAGGATCTCTGCATAATGTCATCAGGTATATTAGCCTGTAGTTTTGTTTTTTTGATGTGTCTTTTTCTGGTTTTTGTATCAGGGTAATACTGGCCTCGTAGAATGAATTTGAAACCATTCCCTCCTCCTCACTTCTTAAAATAATTTGAGTAGGATTAGTGTTATTTCTTCATGTAATGTTTGGTAAAATTCTGCAATGAAGCCATAGGGTCCTGGGCTTTGCTTTGATTGAAAATGCTTTATTATAGCTTTGATCTTGTTACTTGTTATTGGTCTATTTAGGTTTTGGATTTTTTGGCAGGTTGTATGTATCTAGAAATTTATTCACGTGTCTTGGTGTGCTAATTTATTGGTATATATTTGCTCATGGTAGTCTCTAATAATCATTTAATTTCTATAATATCAATTGTGATACTTCCTTTTTCATTTCTGATTTTAACTATTTAACAGTCTTTATTTTTTTTCTTTGTCTAAAACTTTGTTAATTTTGCTTATCTTTAATTTTGTTATTTCTGCTCTGATCTTTATCATCTCCTTTCTTCTACTAATTCAGGGTTTGGTTTGCTCTGGCTTTTCTAGTACTGGTATTTTGATAGGGATTGCATTGAACCTGTAGATTGCTTTAAGTAGTGTGGACATTTTAACAATATTGATTCTTCCAATCTATAAACATAAAATATCTTTCCTTGTTTTCTGCCCTCTTCAATTTCTTTCATCAATTTTTTACAGTTTTCATTGTAGAGATCTTTCACTTCTCTGGGTAAGTTTATGCCTAGGTGTTTTGTTTTATTTGTAGCTATTGGAAATGCTATTACTTTCTTAATTTCTTTTTCAGATTTTTTTTTGCTGCTGACATATAGAAATGCTGCTGATTTTTGTACATTGATTTGGCATCCCACAACTTTGTTAAAGTTGTTTATTTGTTCTAGTAGCTTTTGGGTGGAGTCATTAGGTTTTTCTAAATATAAGATCATATCGTCTACATATCATTTCTTAATATAATATCATATCATCTACAAAGAAGGATATTTTAAACTTAAGATTATTTTAAACTTATGACAACTTAACTCTGATCGCTAGTTCTTTAAGATGCATCATTAGGCTGATTATTTTATTTTTTTCTACTTTTTCATATAGTCACATATTGCTATAAACTTTTTGTACTGCTTTTGTTATGTCCCATAAGTTTTAGTATGTTGTGTTTCTATTTTTTTGTTTTAATACTTTTTTTTACCTTTTCTTCTTAATTTATTCATTGACCCACTAGTAATTCAGAAGCATATTGTTTAATTTCCATGTGTCTGTATAGTTTTCAAAGTTGCCCTTGTTATAGATTTCTGGTTTTATTCAATTGTGGTCAGAGAAGATACTTGATATTCTTTCAAATATTTTGAATGTTTTAAGACTTGTTTTGTGTACTAACGTATGGTGTCTCCTTGAGAACGACCCATCTGCTGTGGAGAAGAATGTATGTTTTGCAGCTCTTGGATGAAATGTTTTGTAAATATCTATTAGGTCTATTTGGTTTGTAGAGAAGAGTAAGTCCAAAATTTCTTTGTTGATATTCTGTCTGGATCTCTATCTAATGCTGAAAGTGGGATGTTGGTTGTATATATATTTATAATGTTGTTGGGTGTATACATATTTATAATTGTTAAAGTGTTGGGTGTATATAGATTTATAATTATATCATCTTGCTGATTTGACCACTTTATCATTATATAATGATCTTCTTTGTCTCTTTTTATAATTTCTTTCTTAAAAATATTTTATCTGATGCAAGAATGGCTACTACTGGCAATTTTGGGTTTTCATTTGCATCGAATATTCTTTTCTATCCCTTTGTTTTCAGTCTACATACGTCTGAATAGTTGAAATATGTTACTTGGCAGTAGACAGTTAAGTCATTTTTAAAAATCTATTCGTCTACTCTATGTCTTTTATTTGAAGAGTTTAGTCCATTTACATTCAATGTTATCATTGATAAGTAAGGCCTTACTCCTGCCATTTGGTTATATGTTTTCTGGTTGTTTTATGGTCTTATCCTTCTACCTTCCTTCTTGTATTCCTTGTGTAAAAGTGACTTTCTCTGGCAATATGTTTTAATTTCTTGCTTCTTATTTTTTCTGTATCTGTTGTAGAATTTTTTGACTTGAGGTCAAAAAGGCTTGCAAATAATATCTTATAGCCCATTACTTTAAGCTTATGATAACTTAACTCTGATTGCAAAAACAAACAAGCAAAGAGAAAACTCATGAAAACTCTACATACATCTACAACCATCTGATCTTTGACAAACCTGACAAAAACAAGCAATGAGGAAAGGATTCCCTATTTAATAAATGGTATTGAGAAAACTGGCTAGCCATATGCAGAAAACTGAAACTGGACCCCTTCTTTACACCTTATACAAAAAATAACTCAAGATGGATTAAAGACTTAAATATAAGACCTAAAACCATAGGCAATACCATTCAGGACGTAGGCATGGGCAAAGACTTCATGACTAAAACACCAAAAGCAATGGCAACAAAAGTCAAAATTGACAAATGGTATCTAATTAAACTAAAGAGCTTCTGCACAGCAAAAGAAACTCTCATCAGACTGAACAGGCATCGTACAGAATGGGAGAAAATTTTTGCAACCTATCCATCTAACAAAGGGTTAATATCCAGAATCTACAAAGAACATAAACAAATTTACCAGAAAAAAACAAACAACCCCATCAAAAAGTGGGAAAAGGATATGAACAGACAGTTCTCAAAAGAAGACGTTATGCAGCCAACAAACATATGAAAAAAAGCTCATCACCACTGGTCATTAGAGAAACACAAATCAAAACCACAATAAGACACCATCTCATACCAGTTAGAATGGTGATCATTAAAAAGTCAGGAAATGACAGATACTGGAGAGGATGTGGAGAAATAGGAACGCTTTTACATTGTTGGTGGGAGTGTAAATTAGTTCGACCATTGTGGAAGACAGTGTGGCGATTCCTCAAGGATCTAAAACCAGAAATACCATTTGACCCAGCAAACCCATGACTGGGTATATACCCAAAGGATTATAAATCATTCTACTATAAAGACACATGCACACGTATGTTTGTTGCAGAACTGTTTACAATAGCAAAGACTTAGAACCAACCCAAATGCCCATCAATCATAGACTGGATAAAGAAAATGTGGCACATATACACCATGGAATACTATGCAGCCACAAAAAAGGATGAGTCCACATCCTTTGCAGGGACATGGATGAAGCTGGAAACCATCATTCTCAGCAAACTAACACTGAAACACAAAACCAAACACTGCATGTTCTCACTCATAAGTGGGAGTTGAACAATGAGAACACATGGACAGAAGGAGGTGAACATCACACACCGGGGCCTCTCAGGGGTTGGGGGCTAGGGGAAGGATAGCATTAGGAGAATTACCTAATGTAGGTGATGGGTTGATGGGTGCAGCAAACCACTATGGCACATGTATACCTATGTAACAAACCTGCACGTTCTGCACATGTATCCCAGAACTTAAAGTATAATAATAAAATAAATAAATAAAACTCTACACTTTAACTTCATACCCTCTGCTTTTTAACTTTTTTGTTGTTTCTATTGATGTCTTATACTGTCTGTCTTATAAAATTGCACTTATTTTTTGATAGGTTTATGCTTTAGTCTTTCTACTCAAGATATGGGTGGTTTACACACAATAATTACAGTGTTAGGATATTCTGTATTTGTCCATGTACTTACTGTTACTAGTGAGTTTTGTACCTTCATATAATTTTTATTACAAAATCTGTTCAGCATTTCTTGTAGGACAGCTCCGTCAGCTTATGTTTGTCTGGGAAAATATTTATTTATCCTTGATTTTTGAATGATATTTTTGCTGAACATACTATTCTAGAATAAAAGGTTCTTTCCTTCAAAACATTGAATACATCATGCCACTCTTTCCTGGGCCTGTAAGGTTTCAGCTGAAAAGTGTGCTGCCAGACATATTGGTTCTTCTTTAAATGCAGTTTCCTTTCTCTCACTGCTTTTGGGATCTTTTCCTTATTTTTGACCTTTGGAAGTCTGATTATTAATTGTCTTGCAGTAGTCTTATTTGGGTTAAATATGCTTGGTGTTCTACAACCTTCTTGTGCTTGACTATTAATATCTTTTCCTAGGGTTTGAAAGTTCTCTGTTATTAATACATCAAATAAATATTCTACCCTGATCTCTGCACCTCCTCGTTAAAACCAGTAACTCTTAGATTTGCCCTTTTGAAGCTATTTTATAGATCTTATAGGCATGCTTTATTCTTTTTTCTTTTATCTCCTCTGACTGTGTATTTCTTTTGCTTGATCAGTTCTGCTGTTGAGAGACTCTGATGCATTCTACTGTAGGTCAATTGAATTTTTCAGCTCCAGAATGCCTGCTTGAATCTTTTTAGTTACTTCAATCTCTTTGGTAAATTTATCTAATAGGAGTTTGAATTACCTGTGTGAAAGATCGCATATCTCTGTTACTCTGGGATTGGTCACTGGTGTCTTATTTAGTTTGTTTGGTGAGGTCACATTTTCCTGGATGGTCCTGATGCTTGTGGATATTCACTGATATCTGGGGATTAAAGAGTTAGTTATCTATTCTAATCTTCACAGTCTGACTTTGCTTATAGCCATCTTTCTCCAAAAGGCTTTGCAGGTATTCAAAGAGAATTGAGTATTGTGATCTAAGTCTCCATCACTGCTGCCTTATCTGCTCTAGGGGCATCCCAAATCTAGTAATGCTATGACTCTTGCAGACTCATAGAGGTACAATCTTGGTATTCTTTGGTAACTTCTGGGAGAATTCCCTGGTCTACCAGGCAGAATCTCTTTTTCCCTTCTCTTACTTTCCTCTATACAAACAAAGTATCTCTTCAGGCTGAACTGCCTGGATTTGGGTGAGGAGCGATGCAAGCACCCCTCATTTACCACCACTGGGACTGTGCTGGGTCACAGCTGAAGCCAGCACAGTCCTCACCTAAGGCTCCTGGTGACTATTGCCTGGCTACTACTGATGTTAATTCAAGACCCAAGGTCTCTCTAGTCAGCAGATGATGAATCCTGCCAGGCCTGGATCTTTCCCTTCAGGGCAACATTTTCCCTTCTGGCCAAGTGTTGGTTTAAAAATGTCATCCAGAAGCTAGGGCCTGGACTTGGGAACTTTAGGAGTCTGGTTGGTGCTTTACTTTACTGTGGCTGAGTTGATACCCATGTTGCAAGAGGAGGTCCTCTTTACTTTTCTCTGTTCTTTTCTCAAGTGGAGGAAGTCTCTCCCCTTGGCTTCTGCCACCCCAGTCTTGCGGCACCAATTGCCTGATTACCACTGATGTTTATTTAAGGCCCAAGGGCTCTATAGTCAGCAGGTGGTAAATACTTCTGGTCTTTTCATTCAGGGAAGTGGGTTTCCTTATGGCCTAGTGTGGATCTAGAAATGCCATCCAGAAGCTAAAGCTTAGAGTCAGGGGCTTTAGGAGTCTCCTTGGTGCTTTATTTTACTGAGGCTGAACTGGTACTCAAGTTGCAAGATAAAGTTCTTTTTACTCTTCCCTCTCCTTTCTTCAAGCAGAAGCAGTCTCTCTCCATGGCCATCACAGCTGGGAAAGTGCTGGGTCACAACTGAAGGCAGCATGCTACTGGGTCTCACCCAAGGCCTGTTTGTGACTATTGCCTGGCTATAGCCAATATTTATTATTCAAGGTTCAAAGCTCTTTAGTCAGTAGGTAGTAAATTCTGCCAGAGCTGGGTCCTTCTCTTCATGGCAGTGGGTTCTCTTCTCACCCAGAGTGAATCTAGAAATGTCACCATGGAGGTAGGGCCTACAATGGGGGCCTTAAGACTATAATTGATGCTTTATTTCACTGTAGCTGAGCTGATATTCAATTTGCAAGATGAAATATTCTTTACTTCTCTCTCCCCTTTCTGCAAGCAGAAGGAGCCACTGTGAGCTGTACTGCATGCAGTTGGGGAGGGGTAACACCAGCACTACCTTGGCCAGCCCTAGCTGGTGTCTCACTTGGTTGCATGCACCCCAAGCCCACTGGCTCCAAGGCCAATGTAGTACCAAGACCTACCCAGAAACTCCAGTATTTGTAGCCAAACTGCCTTTCAAATGTATTCAAGACCACAGGGCACTCTAGTTTGTGGTTGTGGTGCTAGCTGGAATTTAAGTTTCTACTACTGAAGCAGAGGATTCCACTCTGGCTAGGGCTGGATTTAATGCTCCTTCCATGGATAGTGGCTGAGTTCTGTCCTGTATTGTGTTTTGCTGTGACAGTACAGCACTAAGTACTAATGTAAAGTACTACAATCACTTTAGTCTCCCTCTTCCAAGCAGATTATTTCTCTGCAACATTTGGTGCAGTCAGGAAATGAGAACAGTGTGGTATAGGCAATGCAATACTGACTTTCCTACCCTTTTCACTGTCTCTTTCCTTGATATGATGTTAAAACCAGATACTGTGATCACTTGCCTGATTTTTGGTTCTTACAGAGGTTCTTTCTTATGTGGACTGTTGTTCAATTTGATGTCCCTATGGAGGGGACAATTGCAGGGGGTGTGTATTTGTCCTTGCTCCATTTTTTCTTCTTACAGGAGAATTTTTATTACTGACTTAGTGTTGTTACTCATTTTTAGTCTGTTTATATTTTCTAAGTTTTTATAATTCAATCATTGTAAGTTGCATGTGTCCAGAAATTTATCCGTTTTTTTCTAGGTGATGAAATTTGTCACTGTATAATTGTTTATAATTCTCTTATGAATCCTTTATATTTCTGTTGTATCTATTGTAATGTCTCTTTTTCCATCTTCATTTTATTTATTTGGGTCTTCTTTCTTTTTTCTTAGTTTGGCTAAAGATTTTTTAAATTTCATTTATCTTTTTTTTAAAAGAAAATTAACTATTTCATTTACTTTTTTTAATTTTTATTATCTGAATTTTGTTTATTTATGCTCTGATCGTTATTATTTCTTTCGTTGTATTAATTTTTGGTTTAGTTTGTCTCCTTTTTTTTAGTATCATGACATGCAATGTGAGGTTGTTCAGTTGAGATTATTCTTCCTTTTTGATGTATGCATTTATTGCTAAAAATGTCACCTTATAACTGCTTTTTGTTTTTTGCTGTGCCCCATAGGATTTAGAATGTTGTGTTTCCGTTTTTGTTTATCTCAAGAAATTTCTAAATTTCTATTTTCTTCATTTACTTATTGGTTGTTCAGAAGAATTTTGTTTAATTGTTATGTGTTTATAATTTTTTCCAAGTTCCTCTTATGATTGATTTCTAGTTTTATACAATTGTGTTAAGAAAATATGCTTGATATGACTTAAATCTATTTTTGTTTAACTTTTATTTTAGGTCTGGGGGTACATGGGAAGGTGTGTTATATAAGTGAAGTTGTATCACAGAGGTTTGTCGTACAGATTATTTCATCAGCAAGGTATTAAGCGTAGTACCCAATAGTTATCTTTTCTGTTCCTTTCCCTTGTTCCACTATCTACTCTAAAGTGGACCCCAGTGTCTGTTGTTTCCATTTTAAAGTTCATAAGTTCTCATTGTTGAGCTGCCACTTATGAGTGAAAACATACGGCATTTTGTTTCCTGTTCCTGCATTCGTTTGCTAAGGATAACAGCCTCCAGCTCTATCCATGTCCCTGCCAAGGACGTGATCTTGTTCCTTTTTATGGCTGTATAGGATACCACGGTCTATATGTACTACATTTTCTTTATCCAGTCTATCACTGATGAACATATAAGTCGATTCTGTGTCTTTGATATTATGAATAGTGCCGAAATGAATATTCACATGCCTGTGACTTTATGGCAGAATGATTTAAGCTCCTCTGGGTATATACCCAATAATGAGATCACTAGGTCAAATGACAGTTCTGCTTTTAGCTCTTTCAGGAATCGCCATACTGCTTTCCATACTGCCATACTGCATTAGTCAACAATGGTTGACTAATTTACACTCCTGCCAATAGTAGAAAAGCGTTCCAATGTTGGATACATACATATTTCTAATTGTTATAGTCTCATGATGAATTGACCCTTATACCAGTGTGAAATGACCATCTTTGTTTCTTTTTCAGTTTTTAATATAAAGTCTATTTTTGTTACATAAGTTTTGCTATTCCTGCTCTCTTTTAGTTTCTATTTGCATGGAATACATTTTTTTTATTTTTTCCCTCAGTCAGTGTGTGTTATTTCTGGTAGTCTCTTGAAGGCAGCATATAATTGGGTCGTTTTTTTTAAATATATGTTCATTTACTATGTGTCTTTTAATTGGAGATTTTAATTCTGCTTACAATTAAGGTGATTGTTGAAAGGTGATTAAGGACTTATTGCTGCTACTTTGTTAATTGTTTTCTAGTTGTTTTAAAAATATTTTCTTCCTTTCTTCATCTCCTGCTGTTCTGTGTGGTTTAGTTGCTTTGTCTAGTAGTATGTTTGAATTCCTTGCTTCTTATTTTTAGTGTATCTATTATAAGGTTTTGTTTTACCATAAGGCTTATAAAAACATCTTGTAACAGTTTATTTTAAGGTGACAACAACTTTAATTTGATTACAATAAAAAGGATGATATATTTTAACTCCACACCCACCATTTTAAATTATTTTAAGTTTTTATGTCACAATTTACGTCTTTTTATATTGCATATTACTCAAGAAATTAGTATAATTACTGTTATTTTTAATAGTTTTATATATTAACCTTCAATACTAAATATGAAACTTTGGCAGTTTTTTTTTCTTCCACACTTTGAATATAACATTCCATTCCTTCCTGGCTTGTTTGGTTTTGGTTAAGAAATTTGCTGATAGATGTGCTGGCATTCCTTTGAATGAGACGCATTTCTTATTTCTTGCTGCTTTCCTATTTTTTCCTTTGATATTTGATAGTTTACTGCATGTCTTGGGGTACTTCTCTTTGGATTGAATTTCATTGGAGAGCTGTTTGCTTCCTGTATATGTGTGTTGTCATCTGTCCCAAGATTTGGAAAGTTTTCAGTCACTATTTCATTAAATATGCCTCTGGCCCCTTTTCTCTTTCTTCTTCTGCAAAATATATTATGCAAAAGTTTGATCTCGTGATCATGTCCCATAATTCTCACAGTCTTTCTTCATTCTTTTTAATTCTTTTGTCTTTTTGCTTTTCTGAGTGAATAATTTCAAATATTCTGTTACAGCTCATTAATTTTTATTCTGCTTAACCTATTTTGCTGTTGAAACTTTATTTTGAATTTTTCAGTTATTGTATTATTCATCTCTAAGATTTCTGTTTTTTTATTCCTCCAAATTTTTTTCTTCTTGCTTTTTTGTGTGTTATTTTCCAAATTTTATTAAATTTTTTATCTGTATATTCTTATAGTCTACTGGAGTTCTCAATAAGGATTATTGTGAATTGTTTGTCATTTTATACATTTCCATTTATTTGTGGTTCATTATTAGAGTTTATTACTTTCTTTTGAAAGTGCCATGATTCCCTGAGTCTTCATAATCCTAATGTCCTTATGTGTTTTTGTTTTGTTTTGTTTGTTTTGTTTCTGTGCATTTGAGGAGACAGCTCCCTCTTCTGGCTTTTACAGGTATTCTTTGGCAGTTATCACAGAGCTTTACTATTTAGTTTATCCTGTGATTCTGAAAGGGCTAGCTGGTGATGACCCAGGTGGTATGAGTGCCATACCTCCTGTAAACTGGTATAATGCTATTTGAAAGTGGTCTTGAATTAATTGTAAATATATGGTTGTGCGTCTTCTAGTTGGCTGTGCTACCATTTTTTTTTTCTTTCTGACGTCAAATGGTGCTACTCTGCTCACCTTTGAAACCACTGGCTGGGCTCTGCTCTCAGGTGAAGCTGCTGGCTGAGTACTACAATGACTTCTGGTCAGAAAGTCACATGATTTATTCCCTGACTGGGCAATTCTGCTATTTGGGATCTGAAGTTGGGGAGCATTGCAGGCAGGGATTCAAGGTTAGATGGAGTTGTTGCTCTGGTGGAACTCAAGGATATACTTCCCAGAAATGTGTGATTGTGGATTGCCCACCTGTCTAGGTGGAGCTATAGATTGGGTCTATTGTAAATTGATTGGCTGTTTGACCTCCTGCATCAAGCACTATCCTCTGTGTTTCTCCAAAATACACAGAAGTGGGAGTTTCTTTGCCTGGTTGGATCACTGGGCAGGCATTTTGTCTGTGTGGAGCTGCTGCTTACCTTGCTGGGTCAAGCCAGTGTAGGTCTTTCTCTTCTCTGACATGCGAAGGTAGGACTCTCGCTGCCTTGATAGGGTCATTGGGCAAGCTTTGGGTCTGCAAGGAGCTGTTGCTTGCCTTCTTGGGTCAATCCAGTGTAGCCATGTTGCTGCATTAGGTTCCACAGAGGTGGGAGTCTTCTTGCCTAATTGCCTCTTATATTGTCATAGAATAATGCTAGTTGCATATATAATCAATATTTTTTTTCTGTGTGGAGAATTACTCTTTTATCATTATATTATGTCCCCTTTAGCCCTAATAATTTTCCATGTTCTAAAGTGATATTTGTCTGATTAATATAGCCACTTTGACTTTATTAGTTTTAGCATGGCCTATCAATTTCCATCTCTTTAGTTTTAGCCTATCAAATCAATTATTTCCATTGTGGCTATTTTTAATTTCCAGTATTTTCTTTTGATTATTTCTTAGGCTATCATCTCTATGTTTATATTACCCACTTATTCTTTTATGTTGTCTACTATTTTCATTGGAACCTTTTTTTTATTATACTTTAAGTTTTAGGGTACATGTGCACAACGTGCAGGTTTGTTACATATGTATACATTTGCCATGTTGGTGTGCTGCACCCATTAACTCGTCATTTAACATTAGGTATATCTCCTAATGCTATCCCTCCCCCCTCCCCCCACCCCAAAACAGGCCCCAGTGTGTGATGTTCCCCTTCCTGTGTCCATGTGTTCTCATTGTTCAATTCCCACCTATGAGTGAGAACATGTGGTGTTTGGATTTTTGTCCTTGCGATAGTTTGCTGAGAATGATGATTTCCAGCTTCATCCATGTCCCTACAAAGGACATGAACTCATCATTTTTTATGACTTCATAGTATTCCATGGTGTATATGTGCCACATTTTCTTAATCCAACCTATCATTGTTGGACATTTGGGTTGTTTTCAAGTCTTTGCTATTGTGAATAGTGCCGCAATAAACATATGTGTGCATGTGTCTTTATAGCAGCATGATTTATAATCCTTTGGGTATATACCCAGTAATGGGATGGCTGGGTCAAATGGTATTTCTAGTTCTAGATCCCTGAGGAATCGCCACACTGACTTCCACAGTGGTTGAACTAGTTTACAGTGCCACCAACAGTGTAAAAGTATTCCTATTTCTCCACATCCTCTCCAGCACCTGTTGTTTCCTGACTTTTTAATGATCGCCATTCTAACTGGTGTGAGATGGTATCTCATTGTGGTTTTGATTTGCATTTCTCTGATGGTCAGTGATGATGAGCATTTTTTCATGTGTCTTTTGACTGCATAAATGTCTTCTTTTGAGAAGTGTCTGTTCATATCCTTCGCCCACTTGCAAAATTGATAGACCGTTAGCAAGACTAATGGAGCCCTTAACATAGTAACAATCGTTATTTTTAATTTCCTGTCTGGTAATTCAAAAAAAACCTGTGCTATATGTGAGTCTGGTTCGGATACTTGCTTTCTTTCTTTTTACTGTGTTTTTTCTTGCCTTTTGACATGTCTTATAATTTCTTGTTGGATGTACTATGTAATATGGTGAGTAATAGGAACTGAGGTAAATAGGTTTTCAGCATATGGTTGTATACTCTGACAAGTAGATGGTCTATGCTTAATGTTTGCTGTAGTTGTAGATACCAAAGTGTCTTTTTGTTTCTCCTGATGTCTTTGAGTTTTCCTAAAATCTTTTCCTTACATAAAGCCTGCCCTCTCTAGATCTTTCAGCTGTAATCCAATGTTATATAACTGCAGATTTTTTGACACCATGGTAAGAGGTAGTGCAATGAGAAGCATTCTAAATCTTATGATTTACACTTAGTCTTTTAGTGACCCATCTCCCTAGCATGTGACCTTTACAAGGGTTTCTCCACTTCCTTTTTTCCCCCTTAGGTGATACAGGAAGATGAGGGAGTGACAGTTGAGCACTTCCCCTTCTTTCAGGTCAGATAAGGCTCTGGTAAAGTCTTCCTCTGTGCTGAGCAGGTTTTAGGTATGGAGAGAATATTCTAGCCGTATGCCCTCCAAATATGGATATTATGACCATATTTCAAAATGTTTACTATCCATCTACTTCTGCCAGAAACAGGAGAAGTTTTTCTTAGCTGTTTACCCTGAAAACCCGGTGAGATTCCTTGATATAAAACCCATGAAATTGTGCTTTGCCTCCACCCAAGGACTGCATTCTCCAAAAGTTTCTCACTTTTGTGTTAGTCCACATTTCACTTCTAGCAATTAATCAAAGCTACCATTTGTATTCCTGCTAATATATTGCTCTAGCATCTTTTGCTCCAGGTAAGCTGATCTCAACTGTAATTCTCTGTATTTCCCTGTCTCTTCAGGTTCTGAGGTGATGTTTTGGCCTGTGACCTAAATTTTCTGATAAGTCTAAAAAAACCTCATTGAGTTTTAGGTTTTTTCAGCTTTTGTCCTATAGTATGGAGTCACAGTTCCATGTTCTGTATATGTTATAGCTGAAATCAGAAGCTGCTCTTTTTTTTATACTGAGCCAAAATCCATCTTGTAGCTTCTAGATATTGGCCTAACATTGACTTTTAGATCTTCAAAAAACAACACCTAACATATTTTTGTTCATAAATTTTAATTGAACCCTAAAAGAAAAATAATTCAGCATTGCAATGTACTTACTAGATCTCCAATACTCTGTTAGAAATTATGTTATTTCTTCATATCAACTTTTCAAGGTAGATAACTTTTATAGATATGGAAACAGATATTTGAAGAAGTTGAATAACTTACTCAACATAACAGCTAGAAAGTGGCAGAAATAGAATTAGACCCTTGGCCACGTTCTTCCCAAACCCTAGGTTCTTCTTATTGCAACATGCTGCCCTCACCTCCAGCAGTTACCTCAATGTTGGGAGGGGATGGGGCAGAAGATATGACATAGGATTGCTTACCTGCTATTTCTAAGAGATATGAGAAAGGCACCTTGTTTTAAATGTATCTAGGATTTCACTTTTATTCAGGAATGGCAAGCAAACAGATTATGAGGCTACTGCCATTGAGAAGATAATTTGTTACTCACAGTTCCCAAGAGAAGACGGTATACCATGTGATGCCATGCATAGCCACCTGGGAAACCACCAGAGTTGGTCATGAAGTAAGAGGAGTGAGAGGATGGACCAGAGCTTTTATTGTATTATTTTTGTGGGAAGAAGTAAGTGAGGCAGGGTAGGTATGCTGAGCCAGCTTAGAAGGAGATACTTTGAATTACTATAGATGATTCTGGGCTTTGGAGGTAGTCCTTAGATGTTTGGTACCTGATCCTGTGGTGATGTAGGAAAGGGGCATACTGTCCCTGACTGCAAAACCTGATAAAGGGACATATAAAGGGAGTATGGACTCAGGATTGGTCAGTTTGCTTGCCAAAAAGATGCTCACGGACACCATGTTTGCCATCTCTAGGAAATGGCTAATTCTAGGAGGGGCAGTCCCTGCCTGGATCTGCAAGACCTCAAGATGTCAAAGTATCATAAAACATTAAAAAAATTAAAGAAGAACCATGATTGATGCATTCCCCCAGCTAGCTCCATGAAAACAAATATATTTCAAATTTTTACTATTATTCTGATTTTGATTTAAATGGTTTATGCTTTATTTCCTCTGATTTAGTCTTCCTAATTCAGCTACATTTGACTCATGGGATTCACCTAATCGCTTGTCTTACCTTTTCCTAGATTGGGAGCCGATACAGGCATACTTTCTTTTCCTGTGCTTCACTTTATGTAGATATTGCTTTAAAAAAATTGTTGAATCTGAGGATGCAGTAAGGAGGGCCAACTATACAGTATTTGAATTTGGCTTGATGGAAGCTTGGGTTTGGCTGTAGAAAAATATGAAAATAAGAAAAAAGCAGAGTAATCAAGGCAAGAAATGATAATTATAGAGAAATATACATATTTTTGTGTGTTTAGAGAAATATCTATATAAAATTGGAATATTGGCATAAAGTCAGGATGTGAAGGGTACTCTGTATTTGTAGCTATTTATATACATGGCTTACGCCCAGTGCTTTGGATATAAGCATTCCTAGCCCATTCATCTCTGTAAACCAAAGCACCTAGAAGTGACTGACATGTCCTAGACAGACACTTAGAGCTGGAAGTCTTTTAAAATTTGGAAAACATTGTGACATTGTATATAGTAATATAATTCTCACGTCGAAGGAACTCATAGCATTCTAATTATTTTACTTGCTCATCTATAAAACCAGTGTAGTAAGTCCCCCAAGTCTTAGAATTATTTTGGAATTTAAATGGATTAGCTGAGTCACTATTGGTACCTATTTCTATTTGTGGGGGATATCAAAATTGAAATAGAGAGAAGTGAGACTAGTAAAACTTGTACCTACTATTTACTATTGTCCTCTTTCATCATCTTTTTTTTTTTTTCGAGACAGAGTCTCACTCTGTCACCAGGCTGGAGTGTAGTGGCGTGATCTCGGCTCACTGCAAGCTCCACCTCCCAGGTTCAAGCGATTCTCCTTCCTCAGCCTCCCCAGTAGCTGGGACTACAGGCGCACACCACCACACCCAGCTAATTTTTGTATTTTTAGTAGAGACAGGGTTTCACCATGTTGGCCAGGATGCTCTTGATCTCTTGACCCTGTGATCCGCCCACCTCGGCCTCCCAAAGTGCTGGAATTACAAGCATGAGCCACTGCACCTGGCCTCATCTTCATATGTTTTATTCCCGTTTATGGAATTTTAAAATCTGTGGTTTATTACAGCTGCCTATATTTACTTAATACCTGCCTTGAGTTTGAGACTGTGGAGTGAGGAGTAGTGTTAATGTCACGAGTATGAGATTAAGCTCTTTGCCACTTTTTGCTGTTTAAAATTAGGAAAACGAATTAAAATCTCTATAAAAAAACTCTGGACATTCATTTGCTTGTCTGTTAGTATGGGGACTGCCTAGATAATTGTTTTGCAAATATGATATATGCTGCCATGCCAAGCATAATTTTTTGGAACATGGTAGGTTCTTATTAAATTTTTCTGTATTAAACAACACACATGTATTCATGTTCACAATGTTTAAAGCAGCATAAACTGGCTAAAGGAAATCTGGTAGGCAAGTAAGCCTTTCAGTGCCCCTTAAGTGACACCAAAGTAGCTTCCACTAAGTCCTCTGGAGAGTAGGGTGGGCACTATTGCTCTTCCACATGTTGCTGCTCACAGTTCTCTTCCAGACTGGAGAATAGTAGAAGCACATGCAAGAGAAGCAAGAGATAGTGAATTACCCTTTGCATGATTGCTTTTGTCCTTTTGTAATTTCAGTTGCTATCACTCTATAGTTAAAAGGCAAACAAAAAACGACTTTTTTCTTTGAAGTACTAATGGCAAAAAGTGGATCACCCAATACCTCTGATAGGGTTTATTATCTCATTATTTGATGCTTGTTAAAAATGTATAAAATGTTGTGCTTGTATTAAAAAATTAATATAGCAAATATATGTGATCACAATAGATTAGGTACCAGGAAAGATTGGAGAACTGAAATAAGTTAACTTTACATATCTTGTATAAGGGAAATTTTTTTTATAAAGTAGAGAAGTTTGCAATGGATTTCATTATTTTGATTTTCAAAGGGATGTGTAGAAAAATACTTAAAATTTTCAATACCATGTGTGACCTATAGACTCACTGACTGTTAATGACAGCTGTAAACACTAAAGTTGTGACTGAACAGTATACATCACTGTATATATGATGTACACAGAAAATGACATAAGCCAGCTGTCAGACCAGATTTGGACCCCTGCACGGTGACTTTCGAAGTGACTTAATAAATCCCAGATTTTGTAAACTGTTCTATTCAAAGTACATTTCTTTGAAATAAAGTCTTTCTCCTCGCCTTGTTAATATCTCATTTATCCTTCAAAATTTTGTTCTTACCTCCTGAAATACTAGTAAAATGACAGCAAAGATACAAACCCATATGATCAAAGTAAACTGCAGAGTGGACAAAAGATTTCTAGTAAGATTTGGAGTGCTGATGTGGAAGGAAAAATTGCTAATTAATTTAGGAAAGTCAAAGAAGTTACAACCTATAGTGTCCATGGCCACAGAATGAAAGCTGGATGGAAAGAAAGATGATTCACCCGAAGGTATATGGAAAGTTTACTCCTTGGAGGCACCAGTTGCTATAAAAGATGAGTATGAGGCGTGGTGTTTCCAAGAGGGAAGTCCACAGAAAGTACATTTAAAATAGACCATTAAAAAGAAGATAGCATAGAAGCATCAATACTGATCAACCAATATCCTACCATTCGTAGTTATAGAATAAGGCAATAAAAAAAGAAGAAAAAATTATCAACATTCTTGCATCATCAAACAATGTAAGAATGTTTCTCAGACTGAAGGGTAAGACTTTCAGAATTATTCAGGGAACTATGTGGGCCCATTCAATCTGGAGAAAATACACATAATCAAACATATCGATGTATATGCACATACATATGTGAACACACACACACACACCCCCCACACATATGACATTGAGACCACTAATTATAAAATTTCTTAACCTGGAAGATAAATTGATAAAGAGAGGGCCATAAAAACCCAAGAAAGAACAAAACATCTTATCAAAAATAAGATTGAAAATGTCACAGACTTCCCAACAGCAGGAGAAAAATAGTTCGAAATTCTGAGAGACAATTATTAACATACCAATATTCTTTGCCTACTGAAACTACCCATAGAGTTTGAAGAAAGTATAAAAATGTTTTTCAGCATTTGAAGACTCAAAATAGATCAACCTTTCACCCTGTCTTACAAAGCTACTGGAGATGGACTCCATGAAAAAGAAATATACCAGGAAGAGAGAAAGAAGAGAATCTGGCAGACCCTGTAAGGCCACATGTGGAGTAGCTGTTGGTTAATTCCCGTGCTGGTCAGGTTATCTCCCTAGCCTCTTGTTACTGTAATATCACCCAATTCTGATTTATTAATAACAAGTTGTAATGCCCCAGGTTTATCATGTAAGCAAGTTGTTAGGCTTTATTTTTCAGAATTAATATCTACTTCTTGAAGTGGTTATGTTATCAATCAGTAGTCAATAAACACCTTTTGAATACGTGATTCTCACCTATAATTTATCACATGTATTTTATAGGCTAGTGCAAAGTAGTAAATTTTTTGACAGATAATGTTGTTACAGCAACATTAAAGTAGGTGGTAGATCAAAGAGACAATGCACAACATAAATAAATGCCTTTCTGGGACCTTCCAGCTTTGAGATTTTCTAAATAATTAAGTAGACTCAAATGCATTCCTAAGAAGGTGAATGAATCCTGTTTTTTATCATAATAAAAAACCACTGATATGTTCAAGAACATACATGATATATCATTTTATAAGAATTTCTTCTTATGAGTAATATTATGAGTTCTTATGAATAATATTAATGATGACAACATGCTTTTCAGGTCAAGTGCTTTATGTATTTTTTAAATTTTACTTCCTTCCTACAAAGAAGCATAAATTAATTTTTACCATAACACAGTTTCTGATCATGATATAAAGACATCCTTTTCCATTGAATCTCCTTTTTGTTTCTTCGTACATTTAATATTATCACTTTTCTTCTTCCTTAATTGCTTTTCATTCTGTATCTTTGATGTGATCGAAATTACAACTCAGGATTTCTTTTAGCCTCTCCCTAAGTCTCTCTCTCTTTCTCTCTCTCTCTCTCTCTCACACACACACTCTCCTGATATCTTTGCTTTGCATTCAGCATCCTCCCCACATTATGAAGGCTGCTACATTAGCAATTTTTATTCATAGTAATTTTATATCATATTGGCATTTATTTTCATTAATATGACAAAAACCTCATTAGCAGAGACTCTTATTAGCATTTTGTCATGGAAAATAGTTTCTTCATTTTATATTAGTGTCATAATATGGGATAACAAATGACTACTTAAAATCTTTTCAACCCTTCCACTTGAGCGGTGGAACATCTCCAGCACAGTGAGTAGGAGGATGCTGGGGATGTTTTCTGCCCTTGTTCCAAGAGATTTGGTAAGTAACAGCAGCAACAGTTACAGCAACAGCAATTAAACAGTACATTTGCGTGCTTGATATTGTATTATCTTTTTCCACCATTTTGAAAAGGACTATATTGGACCCTAATAGTTTGTTCCTAGATGTGATAAGGGCAAAACAAAAAAAATATTTATATCTAGACTTGGAAGCTAATTAGATCTTTAGAAATGTTGCATCTGTTCCTGCTGGCACCATTGAGAAAAAGGGGTAGTGAATGTATTGCAAACAGTCAGTATTGTCTAGACCAGTGTTTTTAGGGAGAAGATCAAAGAAAAAAGAGTTCTGTGTTTAAGAAATAAACATCAATTTCATAAATAAAATTCACCCATTGACTTAAAAAAGGAACATCTATATGAATTATTTTAATAGTTATCCCATATCTTTAAAAGGCACAACTATATTTAGAACTTAAATGAAAACTAAATACAAAGTTCAATTTGAAAACAGAGAAGGTATAAAAGAGGCATAAATCTAGACAAAGGGAATAAAATATTAAAAGCTTTCAGGGGATTGGCGCGATGGCTCACGCCTGTAATCCCAGCACTTTGGGAGGCCAAGGCGGGTGTATCACTGGAGGTCAGGAGTTCAAGACCAGCCTGGCCAATATGGTGAAACCCCATCTGTACTAAAAATACAAAAATTAGCCAGGCGTGGTGGCAGGTATCTTAATCCCAGCTTCTCAGGAGGCTGAGGCAGGAGAATTGCTTAAACTCGGGAGGCAGAGGTTGCAGTGAGCCAAGATTGTGCCATTGCACTCCAGCCTGGGTGTCGCAGCAAGACTCTGTCTAAAACAAGAAAAAAAAAGCTTTAGGGACATATATGACTAGATTCATTTTCTGTGTTGGCCACTTACCTGCAGCATTGCTGTTGGTCAGTGTATCTTTCTTCATCTAGGAGCAGATAGAATTAACTTTGTTATTGATAGAGTTAAGTGAAATTGTAACACCCTGCAAACATTGCCTGGTATATAATAAGTTCTAAATAAACATTTTTTTTTAAATCTTCGCAATTGCTGGATCAAAATATTCTAGGGCTGAGGTGGTTCCTAGAGATCATGTAGTCTACCTTCCAGTCTCATTAGACACTTTATTCCCTTGGTAATTTACTTAGTGGCAGAGTCTACTGGGGAAGACACATTATTTTGATGATTTTTAACGAGTAATTCAGGTTTACACTCATACTACTACTGTATTTAGAAGTACTGCTGTAAAAATGTTTTTCCAAAAAATTCCTTGTTTACATAGATACATAAATATAAGGATATATCTTTCCCAAATGCTACTGTTCTTTTCTTTAAAAACATTAAGTTCAGGAGCACATGTGCTGGTTGTTATATAGGTAAATTGCATGTCATGGGGTTTGGTGTACAGATTGTTTTGTCACTCAGGTGATAAGCATAGTATCTGATAGGTAGTTTTTTGATCCTCACCCTCCTCCCTCCCTCCACCTTCAAGTAGGCCCTGGTATCTGTTGTTCCCTACTTTGTGTCTATATGTACTCAATGTTTAGCTCCCACTTGTAAGTGGGAGCATGTGGTATTAGGTTTTCTGTTCTAGCGGTAGTTTGCCTAGGATAATGGCCTCCAGCTCCATCCATGTTGCTGCAAAGGACATGACCTTGTTCTTTTTTATGGCTGAGTAGTATTTCATGTTGTGTATGTACCACATTTTCTTTATCCAGTCTACTGCAGATGGTCATTTAGGGTGATTTTATATCTTTACTATTGTGAAAAGTGATGCAGTGAACATATGCATGCATATATCTTTACTGTTCTTAATCGTACCTCATATTCAAGAAAAATGACAATTTTTTTTCCTTTCCTTTTTTTTTTTTTTTGAGACGGAGTCTCACTCTGTCACCAGGCTGGAGTGCAGTGGTGCGATCTCGGCTCACTGCAACCTCCGACTCCCTGGTTCAAGTGATTCTTCTGCCTCAGCCTCCCGAGTAGCTGGGATTACAGGCATGGGCCACCACACCCAGCTAATTTTTGTATTTTTAGTAGAGATGGGGTTTCATCATGTTGGCCAGGATGGTCTCGATCTCCTGACCTCATGATCTGCCCATCTCAGCCTCCCAAAGTGCTGGGATTACAGGAGTGAGTCACTGTGCCCAGCCGACAATTTTTTAAAATACCATATATAAAAAGAAAGGTGAAGAGTTAGAGGCTGGAGTCATCTCTAGTCCAATAACTTCATACATAAAATCAGCCAACATAGAAATAGATACTCTTTAAAGACATTATGATCAAGACTATAAAATGTTCATTATTTTAAAAAATATTAGACAAAAAAGGGCAAAAATGTTATCAATTTAGTAGAATAAGGGAAATGCTTTTTCATATCTTGATAAAATGGTGTTCATATAGAAGTATACATTTATCCAAGCACATCAAATTTTGCAATTAATACCTATACATTTTACTGCAGAATTTTAGCCCTTTTTTTAAAAAATTAAAGGACCTAAGTTAATGCACGCTTTGTGCCTTGAATAAAAGGCCTGGACTGATGAAGAATGCTATATTGGAGTGAAAGCAAGAATTAGTGAATTGAAAAACTAGGAGAAAAAAAACTTACTTATTCAATATAAAGGCTGAGGGCAAATCCTGGGATTGGAAAGGATTTGGTTCATATGGAGGACATAAAATGAAACTGTGAATTCAATACAAGAGCCAAAATAGAATTATGAATTGGATGACTTCTGGATATTCGTTTTGGGAATGAGGTCCTATTCTATTAAAATGTATTAAAGGTTAGAGAAACATATTGCTTCAGAAAAGTGGATGTGATTTCTCAAAGTGTATTTGGACTACGTCAGAGAGTAAGGCTTATTCTCATTGGCTAGCTAATACTGATGATGTTTGATTCCTGTGAGATCCATTTCCCTTCTTACTAGGGATGTACTCTGCATAGCACCCAAGTTCATGATTGAGGGGAAGGAAACGGTAATTTCCCTTTTTCATAAATGCAAGAATCTAGAGGAGGACACTTACACTCCTAATCAAGGATAGGTGGCAGATGTGAGAATGTAAGCAAAATGAATTTGAGCTCAGAATTATCTTCATGCAGATCGTCACACACCATCTAAATTCAATATCAGACCAGTTGGGATAAATCTAAGTGTCGCTTTTAGCTAAATAAGGTATCATTTTAAAGTTATCTAAACACCAGGCTTTGCATCCATTGTGTCTTTTCAAAATATGTTCATTTAAATTATAAAATTCTGCACGGAATTTGATAATTGTGTTACACAAAACATTTTATAATATTATATGCAAATATAAATGTCATATCGACTCATTAGCCATCTGTGAATCTTTATTACAATAAAACTCAAATTTAATTTGGAGTTTTTACATAATATATTTTAATTCATGGATGAAAGATCTGCATTGTAATTACAAAACTTAATTTAATTAAGTCATCCATCTGATAAGAACATTTATGCAGATTTAAACATATCCAACTAACATCAAAACTGATGGGACTTTTAAGCTAAATCGTATCCCAGTTTTCAATATTTGAGCTCTTAAAATGTAATTTTGATTTTTAATAGTGGAGATCAATACTGATGCTCTGGTACATGCATTACATAGTTGAGAAAATTCTTCAATCTTTTCTGTTTCTCAAAGTTGTTTAATTTCACACGTTTCCTGACTTCCTAGGCTGCATTGTAACTCTCCAGTGGAAGACATGTTTGTCTCATTAATACCATAAGGAAGTTTCAGATAAATGTACTCAATTTAAAAGTGAGGAACTTCGAAAACTGACACTGATATCTCCTGAAAGCACTTAACCACTTTGTTGAGAAGCTAGAATCAAATTGTAGTCTGCACCAATCTTTTTCCTTTCAATGCCCAGAGCATGTTCTGTACCACCTACTTTGATTTTTGATGAGATGTTGCCTTAGATTTTCTCCAATAATATCCTAACAGCTAAATCACATATACTTCATAGCACAAAAAAGAAATACTGGAAAAATCACCTCTCCATTATCTATTACACTTTGACTCAAATTTAATTGACTATTTACTATCTATGCTAAAAAAATTGTAAGCCTTTTACGTACATTTTTACATAAAATCTTTGTAACAACAGTGTGAAACAGAAACTATATTTTTATCTTGTTTTTCTTCAAATAAAAAAAAACAAAGACACAAAGAAATTAAGAAAATTTCCTAAGGTTATATAGGCGGTAGAGTCAGGATTCAAGTTACATGATGTGGGGATGGAATCTGGGATTTAACCACTATAGTAATGGTGCCTCCATGTAGATTCATTTGCTCAATTTAGGAATTTTTAAAAGAGGGCAAAGTTTAAAATCCACCTAGATTTACCTGTGATATTCAGTATAGTTGAGGGAAAATAAAAATAGGACTTGTAACTTGAGGAGTTTCTAAACATCATAGTGCTTGGTTTCCATGTTGATTTCATAATAACATGCTTCCTTTCCCATATTGCAGCTTTTGAATAGAATATGCTGTTTTAAAAGTGTTGTGTGTTGATTAAAATGATTTAATAAGAGCAGTGCAAACATGTGAATGTTTCCATCCCAAATCTGATCCTGTATAATAGGCTAAAAATAAATTGACAGCAAAAAGTGTACTTGACAGTTAATCTGTGTTCTCATTTTTGAGAACTGTATGGAGGTGGGAATTCAATAGAAATAACTGGACAGAATTCCACAAAAGCACTCCGTTATATATCAGAGGCATGAAAGTCAGGGATAAGTGTTTCAAATTTCAAGCCAATTGCTCCAAACCTTGAAAAACGTCAATGTGTGAAAGCAGGTCATTTGCACTGAACCGCTGCCAGCATATCAGAGTAAAACATATTTCTTGCTGAAATGTAAATGATCGGACCCTGAACTCTTTCATTATAGGTTTGGCACTGAAGGGTCTTTGAGGTTACTGTTTGACCTATGCTAAAAATAAAAACCATGGACACTGGTTGACCTCAGTTTATTGCCTGAAAACCACACTTCTGTGGGAAAGAAAAGGCCTTAGATTTGGGGTCTGAATTTCTAGTTCTAGTCTGCATAGAGTAGAACTAGCTTTGTAAATGTAAAACTGAACATATATATATATATATATATATATATATATACACACATATATATATATATACATATATATATATACACACACACACTATAGTGTATATATACACATATATTTAGAATAAATATGTATTTAATACATACATTTAGAATAAATATGTATTTAATACATATATTTAGAATAAATATGTATTGAATACACATCTCCATGACAAGGATATTTTCTATAGAAAAGGAAATTTTGTAATATAAATGAAGTTTGCATCAGATCACATATTTTATATTGAATCTGTGTAGATAAATCACTCTAGGTGAATGTTAATTATTTCTACTAAGACCTAGATATTGAAGATTAGGAATATGATTTATATCTTCAAGAAATAAACACATACTTATAGACATTTAGAAGGGGTTAGTTCTTTCTCTTCCTTCTAAATGTCCTCAACTCCACTGCCATAATTTCCACAAAGAAGTCTGTTCTGATTGGTTTGAGTCTATATGCTGACTTGCTCATATAAACTATTGCACAGAGTTACTGCATGCTAATATAGTATACATATATACTCTCATTTCTTTCATACAGTCAGGGTCAAGCGTTTGGTCTGTATAGTAAGAGACACTGTCGTCTTTTTGTTTCTGTCTTACTAAGGAGTAAAACTGTATGGCTTCTGCAGAAAAGGTAAGCTGATTTGACCATCCTTCCAGTGTTCTATTCTCTCTTTCCATTAAGCCAGTCAGAGAGTAGTAAAATCTCTAAATTCAAGTTTAGAAATAAGGGTAAAAAGAAATCTCATAGGCCTATGTAACTTCTCCAATCTTAAAAACCAAATAAAAAGTTGGAATATAAACCTAGATAACATAATGAATTTTTTCTCCTTTGATGATGTTTTATGTATTTATTTCTTAATGAAACAAAAGGAAAAAGGGTAGCTGGGTCAAGGTAGGGCTTGCAGATTTTGAAGATTGATATTATCTAAAAACTTTACTCCCCTGATTGTTTATAACCTTGTCTACTATCTTGTCTGCTATTAATAGCACACTGCTGAACACTGTGGGAGATGGAAATGTACTCAATTCAGTAGTTTCTGAACTTTATTTTACCTCACTTATGCTCATGTGTGTGATAATGCAATGGTGAGGACCAGATTTTGATACCTGGCTTAGCTTTCTGCAGGGTATATTAACTACAATTTACTGATTCTTACAAGTAAAGACAACCAACTGTTTTGGGACTTTGCGGTAGAAAACTGGTGGATTACAAGACTGGCTCTGACAAGAATAGAACATCTGATCAGGAAAAGCAGTCCAACCAAAACTAGAATCGTTTTATTCATGTAAATAATAATAAAATATTGACATGAACCAACTCTGCAATAAGTAGCCATTTGAACTGTCATCAACCACTTAACCTCTCCAGAGGTTAGTTTATTCATCTGTGTTACCATATTTTTTAGATTAAAAGATAAGTAGCAGTCTTTGTAGCCCTAATATATGAAAAGCCTAATTTTAAACTCCTTAAGCTGAATAATTTTCCTTTCTTCTTCTGAATTATGGTTATCCTAGAATAAGAAGTTAGTGGAAACTCAGAGAAGAGGTAATGAATAATAATAAAAAATTACTCCAAAGAATCTTGGGATCATGGCTGGTTAAGAATTCATCTACCTTGCCGGGCACGGTGGCTCACGCGTGTAATCCCAGCACTTTGGGAGGCCAAGGCAGGGGGATCACGAGGTCAGGAGATTGAGACCATCCTGGCTAACACGGTGAAGCCCCGTCTCTACTAAAAATACAAAAAAATTAGCCAGGCGTGGTGGCAGGCACCTGTAGTTCCAGTTACTTGGAGGCTGAGGCAGAAGAATGGCATGAACCCGGGGGTCAGAGCTTGCAGTGAGCCGAGATGGTGCCACTGCACTCCAGCCTGGGTGACAAAGCAAGACTCAGTCTCAAATAAAATAAAATAAAATAAAAAGAGTTCATCCACCTCAAGTGTTTGGCAAAACCTGGCGTGGGATGCAGTTAAAGAATTAACAGAGCAGACAAAGAATCTCTAGGTAGAACCAAAAAAAATGTGCAAAAAATATATCTGGAAACACCAAGTTGCTATTGTGTATTTCTGCACTATTTCTTTTAATAGCTAAGGTCAGTCTGTGCCCTGAATATTACATTAGAAGGTCTTACCCTTAAGAAACTCAAAGTCTTAGTCTTACTGTTTCTATTCTCTCTTACTTTCTTCCAGGGCGTAAGTGAAAAAAAAAAAAATGTTTCTTTAACAAAACTCCTTTAAGAGGCTAACTGGTACATTTAACATGCTTGAAATTCTACCTAGGTAGTTGATTCCTTTAGCTTGAGATATTGATTTCTGTAAAGTTGTAATCTCTGGTGGGAGAAGTATGGCTTTAGTTTGAGCATTTTTGATAACAGGTCTTCATATGGTGTCACCATGAAGATCAGGAGCCGTCTTAAAAGAGAAATTAAAAGAATAAACACAGGAGAGCTGTGGGTGAGAGTTCCCTGTCAGAAGTCTCTTGTCAGTTACCCATTAAACAAGGGAGGCTGCTGTATGTAAGCATCAGTTTTCCTTATCAAATTTCCTAAAAAGCTTTTAATTTGTTTTACCCCAAAGAAAAAAATACAAGCACAGTGTCAGGTCAATAAATGGTATGCATAGCTATAAAGCCATCTTATATGACAAGAATAAATCTTTCAAGCAAAACCTGTTTCCATTCAGGATAGAGTTACGGCTGAAATAACATTTATAGGATTTAAGAGTTGAACTGTGGAAGAAAAAGACTTCTCAAGGGATACATTTTGGCTCTATATTAGCCCAACCTAAATATATAAAACTCAGTGAGGATTGTGACTTTACCTGTTAGTTGCAGTAAGGTTCAAAGAGAGTAAAATGGGACAAGTGGGTTTGAGTTATTAATGTGAAAACCTGTGTGGTAGGTGTTAAGGGGGAAATTACTAAAATCTAAACTATTTAAAAAATATATTTTAGGCATAGCACATCCTCCAGTGTATTTATTAGGATCACCCAATGTCAATAGCACAGTTTTTCCCAGCCTTAATTCTGCTATAATCAGATTATATACTGCCTTAAAGAAAAGGCCTATGTTCTATGCAAATTGAGCATGAACAATTTGTATCTTGACCTCATATGACAAAGTTTCAATACTGTGTGTGGCGAAGCAGTGGTTGAGTACCACTCTCATGGCATACAGTAGAGACTTAACGAATATTTACTGTATCAAAGAGTAGATGTATGTCAAGCTTGATACAAGCTGTATCAAAATATCAATAATCTTGTCATAAATTTGGTTAACATAGTTGCTGCCTTGGCATCCATTTCTAGGCCAGACAGGTTTTTAGAAATCTAGCTGTATCCCGTTACCTTTGGCCTAGTTAAAACTTCTCCATGTGTTATTGTTTGTGATAGGGCTCACTTGTTTCTCATCCCACCCATAGGAAACCCAACACACCCCACAGCTGCTGATGGTGATAAAATGGTCAACACCTGAGTCCTATAAATAAGTTCCCCCATTCACATGTGTTTCCTTTAGACTAGTCAATCCACAACCCCCGTGGAAAAGACTAAGGGATAAAAGGTCATGAACCTTAAGAGAGGCACAATCCAACAGGTTCTCTCTCCCACTTCCTACTCACCGGCTGAGCTTCCTGCTGCCTACAGCCTTCCTGTCAGCCGCCCATTTGCACGACACCCCTACCTTCTTTGGGATTTGTAAGTATTAAATTTGCTTTGTTTTATGCGTTTTGGTTTCATCTCCTCATTGTGTCTCATCTGACCCACACATGGAACCTACTTTCTTCCCCCAGTCACCCCCCCTCCCTCTGCCTCCCGCCCCAACTCTGAAGCAGGGCTTTTCTAAAGAGTGGCTATCTAGGCTTGTGGTCACTCTACAGAAAGACTTCAAGACCAAAGAAACAGCAAAAACATAACAATAAAAACCTAACAACAGCTCTCAATGTGTATGCCTTTGTGAGGCAAGCTGATGCAAAAGGAATAATAAAAAAGAGGTTTTCAGTGTAGCTGTGTACGTCAAGGAAGAAAGACTCCTATACGTTTGGACCCTCTGTGCTCAAGGTTGTTTTAATTCATTCTTTCAAAAAAAATACCTAAAATAAACTACAACATATACTAGGCATCTGCAATACAAAGATGAATATGGTCTAGCTCTGTCATTAAAAGCTCTCATTGTCTTGGGAGTAATTGTCATGTAAACAAAGAGTTGTTTAGCACATCCGCTCCTTTTCTGTAAAGACATAAGAAAGAGTATAGCAGAGTCAATTTAAAATTAGAATATCAGCTTTCTATTATTTAATAACCCCTAAATGAATAGGGACACTGTTACTTCTAAGTTTCTTCCTAGTGCTGTAATCCTGTAATCCATATAAATATGTGCCAAAAACAAATTGATTTTGAGAATTAAATGCATGTATAAATTTAATTGTGATTATATGCAAAGATTTTTGAAAATGTTATTCTTCACAATTCTTTGAAAACAACAAAATACAATATAATTTTTATCACAGAATATGCTGCATTCCTTATTCTTTGACAGGTATTTGAAAAAGTGGGGCTGAGAACCAGCTTTCGTGCCCTCACTCAGTAGATGATGTGCTTTTCTGAACTGTAAGTGGCACAACTTTTTTTTTTCTCTTATGTGGGACCCAAGATGAATTTTTGAATGTCAGTGTGGCATTTAACATTTGAAAACCATATCTGATGAGTCTATTAGACCTTTGCAATCCTGTAGGCCTTTCTCAAGGAAGAGCCATATATATTTTGCACTAGGCAAGGGAGAAGCATGAATTCTTGAAAAAGAGGGAGTGGTTAAATTAAAAGCATTAAATTGGATGGGATAAGAAAAGTAATACAGTGAAAATGGCTTATCATGTTAGTAACCTTTGTGCAAAGAAGGGCAAGCTCTGTTGGAGTTCATGGTAGAAGCTCCATACAAATCACCAAAATGGAAGAAATCAATACATGTGAGAGATTGGATCTGAAAGCTTATTTTTTTATTGTGCTTCTTCACACACAATTTCCCAAAGTAAGGGGTTAGAAAAGAGAACACAGTATTCCTTCAGTTTGTCTTTTAAGCACCTTTATAGTATGAGTGTTTATTTACAGAGAAATAACAAAAGCCTCTGCAAATTCCATTCTTCCTAAATAACCACATTTTCCCTACCATTATTTAAAAAATAGTGAATAGAGTTTTTTCTTAAAAGACTCCTTTATTCCTTCCCATAGAAATGATCACTTACACCTGTCACATGTGGGGACCCAAAAGATATAAATAAAACAAATAAGGAGGGACTAGAACCTGAATAAGATGCATCCAAGAGGTGGAAAATATGTGGGTGCTGACCTAGCTACAGGTGTGGAGAGTGGTATTTTAGTCTAGTTGACAAGCACCATGCTTCAGGATTATTGTATTCTCTGGATATTGTCCAGACAAAATGCTATCAACTTGGAGTTCAGAATGAAATTCTGCTTTATTGTGTAGAGACTGGGAACCCAGGGTGTGTAATATTAAATGTTCAAGAAGATGGCAGGGGTGGTCTAAGTGATAATAGGGCTCCAGCTATAGTCTGTATCTAGAGACGACGTTCAGGGACAGATTTCAACATCTGCAACCAGAATTGTCAAACTCAAGGTAGAGTCTATGCTTAAGGAGTAGAAATTCAAACTGGTAAACAATAGGAAATTAGAAGCAGGGACAAAGACCCTCTTAAAGCAGCAATAGATATACATAAAATGTTTTAAATAATAACAAGGCCCCTAAAAAATTCAAGAGATGTCAGAGCAAAAACATATGGCTAATATCTAAAAGAGGTACATAGATACTGGCTGTAATTGTCTACGGATCCAGAGAAGTTTGTTTATACCCACTGTTATAGATGAAGCTATTTGAACTCTAATTTCCCTTTAATCTTTAATTATAACATAATAGCAGGTGGTATTGTAGAAGCCCAAAGAGGGTCTGTGAAAGGGTAGAGGAATTGTCCAACTCTATCTGCAATTCAGAGGAGGCAATATCTGTATCTTGAAAAAGAAGAGGTTTCTAAAATAAGGAGATATATTCAGGACAAGAAGATAAGGTGTTTAGATATGCATTTGTGAATGGGAAGAGGTGTTTGTTTGGAGCTGTATCTACAGTTGACTTCGGTAGGATGGAGCTGTATCTACAGTTGACTTCGGTAGGATGGAAAGGCAGAAGTAAATGGAATGGTTAAAGCCTATATTAAAGAGCATAGCCAGGATTCTATAAGTACCAGAAACCTAGAAAGATCTTTCAACTGGTAGCGGTCATGATCAGATCATGTTAGAAGAACATGTTATTTTTAGTCAGAGTTTGGGAGCTCCAAAGAAGATGAGTATGCTACTGGAAAAGGCTTATTGAATTAAAACATATGAAATGTAGAAATGTTTTTAGATCGTTGATAAATGAAGGTGGGGACAATGGATGAGAATAGCTTGCTAAGTAGGGCAGATCATGTTATAGAAGAGTGGGCAATAAGGAAAATGCTGTGAGACTCAAAGTGAAAATGAATGGAATCTCTTTTTAACTTTTATTTATTTCCTTCATGCCAAGTACTATGTTGTGCTCTCTGAGTTTGCGCTCTCATATCATTCACACAACTACCTGGTTAGGTAAAAAGTATCTCCAATTTTAAAATGAGGAGCCCAATTCAAAGAACACAGGTAAATCTGAAGTAGTAATCAGTTAAAATATATGTTTGATTTTCCAGTTCAGTGTTAGTAATGACTAAATTATTATTACACTCATAGAAGTGTACTCTTGTTGCAGGGGTACTGTACCTTTTTCTTCTGAGAACATTCTAAGTGAAAGGACAAATGACTCAGGTTATTAAGTACTTTTTCTTTGTTTAGACAGAAGCAATGACAGCTGTTATGTTTGAGCCAATTATAAAGTTGTGGAATAGATAAGGGAAAGAAAAAGTGATGGAAACTTGCCCCACTGTTAAGATCATGTGATCAAACTCATCCTCAGATTTATGGGGATGAGACATAAGTTTGTGAGGTTAGTAAAAAATGGTAAGTAAAAGGAGTGTTTTTCTGGACAGTGTTTCTGAACAGAATATTAAATGGGGCTGGGGGTAGGAGTAGGCTGGGACTGGTCATTCTGCAATCCAGTTTTCTATTTGAGGCTTATATCCATAGAGAATTAGTCATGTGTCCTCAACCTGGTAGGTTCTTGACGAACAGTTGCCTAAATTTGCTGAAATATATATATCCAAACCTGGTTTCACTGTCTTCTAACAAAAATGGTTTCTATTGTAATATGTAACTTTAAATGGCACCACCTCAAGCCAGAAATCCAGGAGTCAGTCTCCGTATCTATTGAATGTATTCCCAAAGAATACTTAATGAGCAACCACTTTTCCTCTTATCCTCTTCATTACCATCCTGTATCATCATAGTATTGTCTTTAAAGTAGTAAAGTATAGTGGTTCAGAATACAGGTTTAGCAGCCGAAATGCCTAGGTTTATATCCTACCCTACTGTGGTACTTAACCTTGCTACCTCAGTTTTCTTTTCCATAACATGGGGATTACAATATTAATGACAACCATTTTAGGCTTACATTATTGAATAAAGGAGTTGTTTTAACACATGCAAAACAGTACTAAAAAATATTCTTGCTTGTTTGCCCCTTGGCACCTATCATTTGGATCTTTGTAATACTGTCCTCTCTGGTTTCTCTAAGCTTTGAATCTCGTTATCTTCTAACCTATTTCCCATATTTATCATAGAAATTATCAGTTTGAAAATATGACCTTGTAATCTAATTCAATTCTCAGACTTCTATTGTTTAAATGAATTATAAGAACTCTAAATATATTAGAAGATAAATTAATCCCTTAAGTCCTTTCTTCCTTGTGCAGCATTGCTTTCCGATGCTCCTTATAATTCATCCTCTCCCACTCACTGAAAGTTTCCCAGATAAAACGAGACTTTTGATGCCACCAATGTATTTTGTGCATCATGTTCTTTCTAAAAGTTAGAATCTTTTTTCCTTTCCTTCATTCACTTCTTTTCACATTTCTCTCCCTTAGTTCCTTTTCTTCTGCCAACCTTCTCTCCCTTTCTTCTTTAATTTTTCTGCTTGCTTGTCAAAGCAATAATCCCCAATCATACTGAAACACTTTACTCAGCACCCCGCTTTTTTCCTATAGGTCCCTTTAACTTGCGAGGCTTATAGCCATCATCTTACCATATTAAATGATTTTGTTTGCATGTCTGTATTTGCAGCAGATTCTAAACTCCAATATCATCTCACAGCTAGCCCATTGTCAGACACAAAACAGCCATTAAATAAATGTTTGTTGACTGAATTATTCTGTTCAATATTGATCAATGTGTGAATGAGAACAGTGAAGTCCAGAGATTATGTAACAGTTATGTAGTGTAGATATTGGGGCTTTTACTGCAACCTCCAGTTGTAGAATATCTTGTTATCTGTTGATGTCAAGAGCTCACAAGTAATAGAGCAATTCTCTAATGCTGTGAAGCCATCCATGACATCTGTACATTTTTTTTTTTACTGCCTGCACTAGTTTAAAGTCTTAAGGCTTAACCATAAATACCAGATTATATGTTCAGACTATTTATTATGAAAGTTTAAAGTAGCACAGTGTAACCAGTGACTTAGTAATTAAGATGCATCAAATAGCAATGTTTACATTAACCAAATCATTAAGAGTCATGTCAATTCTATGAAATCCCTTTCCTCAACAGTGCCAGAGAGCTAGATTTATTTTGCTTTATTTTATTTTAATATCCTAGGAGATCTTGGACAAACATTGAACAACTGAGCTCACATTTACGTATCGTCAGCATTTGGAAAATTTTCTTATGTTTCAGTGGGGAAAACATTTGAAATTACTTCTACATTTGTATCTGGAAATCCACTTAATAAGATGAAACACCCTGGTCCCTAACCTATATGGCCAGAATTCAGCAGTCACTGCATCAGCGGAGCTAACATTTACAGAATGCTTCCTATTCTCCAGGCTCTCTGTTAAGTGCTTTATGGTTGCAGATTCCATACTTCTCAGCACTCAGCCACTCGCCACCCCCAAATCATCACATCTGTAACATATATTCTTCTGACAACCATATATTCACTTACCTCTAAATAATAATCTTTGCTGCTATAAAACATGGATTCAGGGAGAAAATAAATACCTTACATAAAAATACTTGAATAAGTGGATTCACATAAATAAAACTAGAAATACAAAAATGTTTATGTTGTAAAGGTAATGTAGAAATTTTTTTTTAAAGATTAGTGGATACTAAAGAGCCTAAGGCTTAATACTTGGCTATTTATTAAATTTGGAGCAAAATGTTAAATGTATCTACAGATATTCAAATATTGAGCTTTACCACAGATAGATGTTTTTGTCATCAACCAGCCATAGCTTTGTTGCAGAGAGATGAAAGTAATATAGAAGACAAATTTGATTTCCACAGGTACGGAAAGACTAAATTTATAGCTAAAGCTTATATATAGGGAGACATACATTTTCTAATGTAACTTGAAAACGTTAACTTGATTCCAAATGGTAAAATATTTTTCTGATAATTTGAGTGTATGTATGAGAATACATAAGCTCAAATTATCAGAAAAATATTTTACCATTTGGAATCTCTGCTAGCTTATAGTTTTAGAAATTGTATAACCATTAAAAGCCACTACAAACATTTTTTTCAAGCAAGTCATCAATATATCTTGAATACTCATTCTAGAAATTGACACTGGTAACATTCAAATTAAGCATTAAGTATTTTCATTTACAAGGCATGAAATCTGTGAGGAGGGATGCAACATCAGAAGTAAAAATGCCTGTAAGAGCTACTAAGCCTTATCTGTTCGGTATTTTTTTTTCTTTCATTGCTGACTATGGCTACATTTTTTAAAGTGAAATAAATGTAGTAATTCAAACTCTAGATATATCCTATTTTCCTGATACTTGGAATCCTATATAAAGTCACATGATGTGTGACCATATGATGTAAAGGAACTAAATTCTTAGTAACTCATCTAACTGGGGAATTTATGGAGCACAAATACTTGTAAAGGAAATCAGGATGAGATTCCAACTTTGTCCCAAAGGATATGATATACATTTATTCTTTTCTCCCTCTCACAGCATTATGAGCAAAAACCTGTCTATTATGACCCTTATTATGCTAACTCCTTACCTAAACACTATTCCTTTAATCCATTTTGAAACTAATTTTCTGTAATTCCTTACTTAACATCATTCCTTTAATCCATAAAATTATTTTCTCCTGATATTAAGGATCATCTGAAAGAACTATCACATGAAGACTGTTTTTTGTCTGTCCTTTTTTTTTCCTTAAATTTTCTGTGGACATCCTATTCAAATTAGCAACTTATTTTACCAGGTGAAAGTCTGAATTCTATGATACAACACAAAACAAATCAGAATACCATCCTTGTTTTCACTGAGCTTACGTTCCAGTAATAATGACAATGATTGTAATAACGGACAACAATCAAGAAGTAAAATATATTTTAAGTCAAATGGTTATAACCATTATAGAAGGAAGGGCTGCCTTGGAAGATTTGTATTTGATAGTGTGGTCAGCAATGGCTTCACTAAAAAGAAATATCTGAGTAGAGACTAGAGAAAGAACAAGACATGAATATTTGGAAGAAAATTTCAGGCAGCAGAAAAAAAACAAGCGCAGAGTTCCTGCGCAGACATGGCTGGAGGCCGTGAAACAATGTAGCTGGAGTGGAGTAAGGGATGAGGAGTAGGAGATGAGGTCAAGGAGACAGCAGAAGCCAAGTTCTATAGGGGCAGACAGATTACTGTAAGGCCATTGGCTTTTAAGTAAAATGGGAAGTCTTCAGAGATCTGAGCAGAAAGAATAACATGACATTTACTTCCCTTTAGCACAATTATTGTGATTACTGTGTTGAGAATAATATGTCGGAGGGCAACCATGTCCAGTTAGAAGGATGCTAAAACATATTAGATGAGAAATGCCAAGGACTGCCATGGTGGTAACAATACAGGTGGTAGTTGTTAGATTTTGGATGTAGTTTAAAAATAAAGACAATGAGATAAACTGACAAATTCTGTGTGGAATGCAAAAAAAATCCAATGTTTTTTGACTAAACAACTAGAAGATTAGAATTAGCTTTTAGCAAGATGGGAATAACTGAGGGGAAGAACAGATTTGAAGCAATAATGGGAGTTGGGGGGCAGGGGAGATCAAGTGTTGGGGTTATATAAATGTTCAGTTTGAGATAGATGCTTGTTAAAATCTAAAGGTCTTGACGGTGCAGTTGGATATAGGTTCTGGAGTTCAGGGGAGTAGAACAGATTGGGGGGAAGATCACAAGGAAACTTTGGGAGGGGATGGCTGTGTCTATTACTTTGATTGTGGTGAGGGTATCATGAGTGTTTGTGTATGTCCACACTCATTAAATTGTGCACATAAAATATGTGCAGTTCTTTGTGTATTATACCTCAATAAAGCTGTTAAAACAGAAATAGACCTTTGAGAATGGATGTTTTCATAAGCCTCCACTGTCTTCTATATAGCTTAGTCTTTTTTTATCTCTCCTCAGATGTTAGAAATCTTTTATACCTTTTTTGAAAAATGTTAGGTGTTTTCATAATGCTCATTTTCAGATTATCTTCATTTTGTTCTTCTAATTTTAATTGAAGAAACAGAATCAAGTCTAATTTAGACAGGCCTAGGACAAATGTACACAATAATTTAGGAGAAAACATTTTGGGACTTAAAACGGAACTGCAGGCCACGTTAAGAAATCTGTCCAGCCAGGTGCGGTGGCTCACACCTGTAATCCTAGCATTTTGGGAGGCCGAGGTGGGGGGATCACGAGGTCAGGAGATCTAGACCATCCTTGCCAACACGGTGAAACCCCGTCTCTGCTAAAAATACAAAAAATTAGCTGGGCATGGTGGCACGAGTGTGTAGTCCCAGCTACTCATGAGGATGAGGCAGGAGAATTGCTTGAACCTGGGAGGTGGAGGTTGCAGTGAGCTGAGATCATGCAACTGCATTCCAACACAGTGAAACTCAGACTCAAAAAAAAAAAAAAAAAAAAGAGAAAAATCTATATCCATCTATGAAAAGGGTGATGCCTGACTTAATTTTTCTTCAATCAATGCCATTGTCCTCAGATGTTTGCAAATATAAACAAGGATAAAAGCTGACTAATCTTCCACTTGACTTTCAAATTTTTTTTATTTTACTTATTTTTGAGACAGTCTCTCTCTCTCACCCAGGCTGGAGTGCAGTGGTATGATCTCAGCTCACTGCAACCTCCGCCTCACAAGTTCAAGCGATTCTCCTGCCTCAGCCTCCCGAATAGCTGAGACTACAGGCATGCACCACCATGCCCGGCTATTTTTTGTATTTTTCTTAGTGGAGACAGGGTTTTGCCATCTTGGCCAGGCTGGTCTCCAGCTTGTGACCTCAGGTAATTAACCCTCCTTGGCCTCCCTAAGTGCTAGGATTACAGGAATGAGCCACCGTGCCCAGCTGACTTTTTTTTTCAAGTAGAAGTTTAATAACTTTCCAGTTTCCAAAAGTGAATGTTCCAAAAGGTATTTGGGCAGCACGCATTGCTGCCTCTAGTTTGTGGGTCTCCAGCAAGATGCATGTATTGCAGGCTCTGTTATATCACTGTTTCTACCAAACTGTTACTTCGTATTTTCAGCTTTAAATAAAATTATTTTTTTCTGCTCAATTTATTAGATTCTTACAATTTTATACACACCCATATAGCAGTGTGCATGCAGTAGACACTCATGCATATATTTTAGGAACACTGTCTTCTATGACCAGGAAAATCATCAAGATTCCAATGGAAACATGAACTGCTCTACAAATCTACCACGTCCTTAAAGTAGCACTTTCAGGAAAAGGTGAAGAGAAACTTTGGAGGTAGGGGTTAGACTGTTACCAAAGGTGCTTCAGCTACTGATAGAAAATAACTTTCTAAAAAGTGATAGTCCCATCTAAATGAAAGATAAGTGAATAAAAACAAGTATGTTTTTTGTGAATAGGCAAACAAAAAGACCATGGTGTGGGAAGCAAAGGGGAAAATACAACTTGAGATGACGAAATGATTTTTTTTTTTTTAAGTAAGATAAAGCAGATGTTTAGGAGTAAACTGAACAAAACTCAGGTCAAACTTTTGATGTTTCATGGAGATGACAGCAAAAAATATATATTAATAAAAGTAGCTAATGTTTGCATAGTGTCTTGCGCTTTGCACAAAAATCACATAACTTAATTCATTTAATCCTATTATATAATTCTATAAAATGGACATAATTAGGATCTTTTTATGAAGCTGGGAAGCTGCTGTCTAGAGTGGATGATTAAATGACCCAATATGCTACCATCAACAAGAAGCATAGTAAGACTGGTATATAAACCTGAGGCAGTATATACATTGCTACTATTGCCTTTGGTTTTTGCACTGAATTGTTTTCTATAAGCACATGCTGTTATCGGCTATTTCTAACAGCTCACATGTTTACATAATTTCTTCAGCTAGTTTTCACTTGACAAAATCTCAATCAAAACAAGAAAAAGCTTTGTAAAACAGTATCATTTTAGCAAAAGGATTTAGTGAAAAACTAATTTGATTGCTTATTATTCAATGAATTATCCTTGAAATCATTTGCAGAAATTTTTTTAAATTAAAATCTGAGTCTATGCAAGACTGAGGGAAGATGTGTGATGCTAACTCTTGTTGGAATACTACTAATTTACTGGAGCTGGTTCTTATTTAAAGGATTACCCTAAACAGCTAAATAATCAGTTTGAAAGACCAGAGGCGAGGTTCCAAGCCAGATACCTGGTTCAAAGCTCAGAAAATCCTGTACTTGAATTACTTCTAAAATATCTCCAAGGTCATTTTATCTTTTATGGATAAGATAATGCTTCTTAGAAAACAAAAAGGTTAGATAAAGCTGAGCATATCTTGAGGCACACATTGATGCTGTGACTCTTTAACATGCTTCTGAGAAACTTACAACTACTCAGAAGATGTCTTCTCTCTTAAAGTACCAGTAATAATCAATGCCTAGCTTTCATACCCATGATAAATGTACAATTATATAATTTTAGGTTTGTAATTCTTATGATAGACTTGGGCATATTTACCAAGAAAAGCTACACACATGGATTGGATGGCATTTAATGATCTAATCAATTGTGCACGTTCCTCTAAGGTGAGGGAGTTGAATAAGCTCATTGCATAAATTCTGATGTAAAGGTAAAAGAATGTCAAAGTGCTGATTTAATGAAGTTTTCTGCTTAATGCATAACCATGACTAGCCACAGCATGGGGGAGCTTTCTGTTAATGAGGCAAACTTTCCTTAATACAAGTGAACAACTAATAACGTCTACCTTTAGGGTAGATGAATCTATTATTTTAGTCCTGGTGAACAACGAACAGGAGGGCTAGAATAGGAAATATAATTGCCTCTCTCAAAGGAGAATTCACTCTCCTTTGAGATACAGAATTTCTTCTCTGGATTCACAGCAATGCCGTTTTTTTTTTTTTAATGCAGCTTAAAGCCAGGTGTGCCATAAAGTAAAATCAGCTTGTTCCTTTTAGGTTATATTAACTGAATTATAAGCCAAGTGAGTCCTCTAATGACAACTCATTCTTAATACTAATTATTTCAATTTATAAAAAAACCATGCCCATTTCCTGGAGTTCCTTTTGTGTGTGTGTGATATAATCTGAATAAAGCAAGCACATAAAATTAAATTCTGTTTTCACTGAATTTTGAAAAACAAAACTCAAAGACATAACAAAGTGATGGTTCAATGAGTGGGGTGGTGGAAGATTTGGAAGAGATACTCACCCTAAAACATAAGGCACTGTGGGGCAGTGGAAATGAATGGGTCATAAAGTAGAAAGACCTAGGTTTGAACTCAGAACTCCGCTACTTAATATGTAAATGATGTTAGTCAAGTTTTTTAACCTCCATGAGCCTGATTTCCCATTTATATAACAGAGATAATAATACCTTAGAGTGTCGTTTTAAAGATGAATAGATAATTTCTCTAATGAGCTACCTTTCCCAGTCCCAGTTCTCTACTCTCCACTTTTACTTCATTGTGTGTGCCTGGCAGTTCTCATCTTGTGTCCTTGGGAAGATAATGCAATCTCACATTTTTAAAGTTGTTCTCCCCACTAATATTGTTGAGCCCTGTAACAGCCTGCCATTGCTGTGCAAAGCATTTATAAGCACAAGAGAAAATTAACCCAGTTTTCAAGCTATTTAAATTTCTATGGACTTATTTATATTCACTTGAGCTAAGGGGAAGCTAAGATTCACCTAAATCCTGGTACCAGCACCCTCTCCTTGTTAATTACTATTTTAGCCTTGCATATGTCTAGCACTCAATTTGTTACAAAAGCAAATGGAAATTAGGTAGTCTCTGATCTCCACTTAATCCTTGTTCCCACTGAGTAGGACCCGATGATGAGTCCTTATTAGCCGACCTGATTCCAATATGGAATAGTACCATGTTGGTTTTATTTGGTTATTTTCTCATACTAAATTTTTAATTAAAAATAAATGAAACATTAATAGATATAGGAAGGCTCCGCTGCTACAGTCAAAGCCCAATGTAATTCAAATTATAAAGTATAGCAATTTAAAATAACTTGAAAATATTATGGGCCACAAAACAAGTTAGAAGAGATAAGACTAGGAGTGCATGATAACTACTTCTGTGTTTAATCTTGGTAATCTCAAACTTAGGTTCCAAACATGGTAGACCAAACATTTTGGCCTCTTTATTAAGTCATTATACTCAAAAAGTGATCAATGTATCAGCCTTAGATTATTAATTGATAAGAACTGTGACATGAATTAGTTCAAGATGCAGAATGAAATTTCACTAATGACTGCTTCAAATTTCAACCGGTGGCAACCCTGGTACCATTTAGGCTTCAAGGCAAGGAAACTTTGAACCTGAATCTTGTGCTATATGGTTGTGTTGAATTATGGACTTAGATATAATACTTCCAGCTGATGGTGCCAGAATAAAGTATAACAAATCCTTAAGGTGTAAGTCCCATAATTGGCTATAAGAAATTACTGTTTTACTGAGTCTCTTCTTTAGCTCTCTAGGAATCCATGAGGAGTCTTTGTTTCTTTTATAAATGCATTCTGGTTACTTGCTACCTCAGCTAACTATCCAACAGGGCTCTAGACCATTGATTTCCCTGTTCTTTCTGTGGCCTCCTCCTGCTAACCATACTCTAGGTGAGTCCTCCTTATGCCTTGTTACTTTACAACTTGCAAGGTGTAGAATTTTTCTATATTTTTCCCAGAGCGATGGCTGGTATCAGGCTTGGCCATTTAACAAACTTTGCTTGAAGACTTGAACAAACTGCAGACAATGGAAACAGCAAACGTTAACTCGTTGATAATTAGTCCGGCCCAAGGTGTTTCAGAGGGCTTTGCTCCTGGCCTTTCTTCCTTCTTCCATCCTGTTGCTAAATTGCAGGAGCCAGCCTATAACCTTACTGCCTCAAGGGAATGGGCCTCAGCTTTCTTTTCCTCCCATAGAATCTAAGCCTCAATTTCTGGTCAGTGGTGGTCATAGGAAGGAAAAAGGGGAATTACATAATTTTTTCCCCAAAAAAAGTAATAGAAAAAGCCACTCTACCTATAATGATGCCAAATTTCATTGTTATGCCAAGTTTGGCTCTTTATTGGCTTAAAATTCCATTTCAGAATATAATTTTTCTTTATAAGTATATAACAAAATTTTATGCAAACAAAAGGCACATTGCATTTACAGAGAGAAGGAAAAATTTTGGACAAAATTAAGCAGTTTCCTTCCCTTTCTAAACATCAAGACTTGACAAAAATAACTGCGTAGCATCATCTTGCTCACCCAATCATTTACTGGAAAATTATTCCACATTTGTTATCATAATATCCACTTGGCATTTCTATGATGCTGTCTTTCCTTATCTCTAATCAATGTAGTGCCTGGTAAACCTTCAATATTTTGCTGTTATATGGATGAACTAATCGACTTTAAAAAAATATTTAAACAGTTTACAGAATCAGCTTCCTCTTCTGTAAAGTAGAAATAATACCTGCTCTTTCTAATGTGCTGGTTGACTATTTAATCCTAATACCCTCTTAATCCATTTGTGTTGGTATGGAGTCCTCTAGGTTTGACTTAGGAAGCCCTGGGTTTGATCTGTGGTGCCATTGTTTTAACTTGTATTTCTTCTCTGCATCTCACCCCTCCACACATGCCCCACCACTACCACTCCCATCTCCTGTGGAACTGGCAGATTAAAACTGTATCAGTCTGTTCTCACACTGCTAATAAAGACATACTGGAGACTGGATAATTTATAAAGGAAGGAGATTTAATTGAGAAACAGTTCCACGTGGCTGGGGAGGCCTCACAATAATGGC